>NC_000015.10:85229156-85380672 GCF_000001405.40 Homo sapiens
AGCTACAACTTTAGAGAATAACAAATCACAAACCCAGTAGACAGGTCCTGGCATTTCAAATCCAACCCCATTTTTCCCTTAATCTTTCCCCTCTGAGCAAATGGTATCGACATGAACAAGCCATGTTGATTTGATCAAGACACTCATCCATGGTTAAAAGAGTCTTTACTTTCAAGAGATACAAACAGAAATATTTACATGGGCTAATTTACTGGGCAACAAGAGAGAAACTCCGTCTCAAAAAAAAAAAAGGAAATAAAAGCATACAAAGTGAAAACAAAGAAATTAAACTGCCCTTATTTGCCAGTGACATTACTGTCTATGCACAAAATTCCAAAAATCTACAAAAAAGCTTCTAGTACTAAAAATGAGTTTAGCAAGGTTGTAGAATCCAAGGTCAGCATATAACATAAAATCACCTTCCTATATACTAGCAATCACCAACTGGAAATTGAGAAGTATCATTCACAACAGTACCACAAACATGAAATAAATGTGTAAGATTACAAAATACAAGCAAGATCCAACTGCTAAAAACTACAAAACACTGACGAAAAATCTAAGAAGGTCTAAATAAATAGATATACCATGTTCATGGCTCATTATTAAAATGTCAGTTGCCTCCTAACTGATTTCCAGTTTCAATGCAATGTCAATCAAAAACCCCAGCAGGCTCTCACGCCTGTAAGCCCTACACTTTGGGAGACCATGGTGGGAGGATTGCTTCATCCCGGGAGTTTGAGACCAGGCTGGGCAACATAGAAAGACCCTGTCTCTACAAAAATAAAAAAATTAGCCAGGCATGGCGGTGCATGCATGTGATCCCAGCTACTTGGGAGGCTGAGGTGGGATAATCGCTTGGTTCAAGGCTGCAGTGAGCAGTGATCCTGCCACTGCGTTTCAGCCTGGGCAACTGAGTGGGACACTTTTTTTTTTTTTTTTTTTTTTTTTTTTGAGACAAGGTCTCGCTCTGTCGACCAGGCTGGAGTGAAGTGGTGCAATCTCGGCTCACTGCAACCTCCATCTCCTGGGTTCAAGTGATTCTCCTGCCTCAGCCTCCCAAGTAGCTGGGATTACAGGTGCCCGCCACCATGCCCAGCTAATTTTTCTGTTTTTAGTAGAAACGGGGTTTCACCATGTTGGCCAGGCTGGTCTTGAACTCCTGAACTCAAGTGATCCACCCGCCTCGGCCTCCCAAAGTGCTGGGATTACAGGCATGAGCCACCGCACCAGGCCATGAAACACTTTCTTCCACCCACGGCTTTCTCTTCTCTCCCCATTTACAGCAGTAAGACAGCCTAACCTGGGAAAGAGAGAGAGAGGGAAGCTACTTCCAAATGGATGCCTGTCCCCATCAGTAATAACCAAGTCTATTCAAGTGCTAGATGTTAACTTTAAAAGAAGGAAACATCAAAAGTCCAAGTTTCAGCCGGGTGCAGTGGCTCATGCCTGTAATCCCAGCACTTTAGGAGGCTGAGGCGGGTGGATCACGAGGTCAGGAGTTCAAGACCAGCCTGGTCAATATGGTGAAACCCCGTCTCTACTAAAAATAAAAAATTAGTCAGGCATGGTGGCGTGTGCCTGTAGTCCCAGCTACTCGGGAGAGGCAGAAGATTCGCTTCAACCGGGGAAGCAGAGGTTGCAGTGAGCCAAGATCGTGCTACTGCACTCCAGCCTGGGTGACAGAGCGAGACTCCGTCTCAAAAAAAAAAAAAAAGTCCAGGTGTCTTCGCCTAGCTTTGTCAGGAATGTTTTTACCCTCAGTCTGTAAGTGTGACCAAATATATTTTTTAAAGGTTTACCCTCAATCTGTTAAGTTCAAAGGTTTACTATAATCTCTTCATAAGAAAACTATTGGAAAGATGGAATAAAATACACAGAAATGTCCTTAACAGGTAAATATTTATTTTTCTTTCTTATTATTATACTTTAAGTTCTGGGGTATATGTGCAGAACGTGCAGGTTTGTTGCATAGGTACACACGTGCCATGGTGGTTTGCTGCACCCATCAACTCGTCATCTACACTAGGTATTTCTCCTAATGCTATCCCTCCCCTAGCCCCCCAACCCCCAACAGGCCCCAGTGTGTGATGTTCCCCCCTCCCTGTGTCCGTGTGTTCTCACTGTTCAACTCCCACTACAGGTGAATATTTCTAGAATGTATCTACTCCATCAGCTAGTGTAAGTATTCTAAACTGTGCTAGTATAGCTGCTTTAAATCACTGCTTTCTTCTGCAAATGGTGGCACCTTTAAAGTGTTATCTTGAAGGGGAAGTGAGTGATTTGCTCATGTCTCTACTGAACTAACACTGTTAACACCCAGTCCAGTTCTACCTTAAACAAGTCGGAGAAATACAGACATAATCCATACTTGTTATTTGTCAAGACTAAGGTAAAATAAGGAAAGTTGGAACTCACTCATATCCTCTTATGACTGATGTACTGAAAACAATCCATCTCTCACCATTTCCTAAATAGCATAGTCACAAAGAGCTCTACCCTACCAAGTACTCTGCAAGTCCCACTCTCAAAGGAAGACTCACAGGTGACTGAGAAGATAAATTTGCTATTGTTTCCATTATCCTTCAGTTCATCTGACACCTTTGAAGAAACGCATTTGGATAAGACTCACAAGTCTCAGGGCCCCTTCTTTATGAAAGAAATAGCTAAGCCTCCATACTCAGAAGCATCAGACTTTTCAGAATGCTTAAGTCATGTAAAAACGTATCAAAATTATTATCATTACAGCTACCAGGAAATAGCTACCTACTCCATGTTAGATACTGCAGTTAAGTATCTCACACAGTTTCACTGATTCCTAACAACACTGCAAAGCATGTTACTAACCCTTAAGGAGTAGGAAGCTGAAGCTCTGAGAGGCTATGCAACTACTCAATGGAAATGTGGGGATCTGAACTCTACCTAGCTCCAAAGGGCGTACTTTTTTCTAAAATTTCTAATTTTTTTCCAATTTCACAATGGAGGCAGAGTTTTCACTACAATTTTAATAATTTCACCAGCTGGGTGGGGTGGCTCACGCCTGTAATTCCAGTACTGTGGGAGGCTGAGGTGGGAGGACGGCTTGGGTCCCAGGAAGACAACTGGGCAACAGTGAAGATTCTGACTCTAAAAAAAATAAGAATTTCACCAAAAGGGGGGACAGATTTCTAAATCGGAATCTCTTGTTAAAATCCTTAGAGCACTAGTTAAGCCCCACTTCTTTTCAAAAAATAACCGACAGATTAAAAAAAAGGTTAGAAGTCCTTTTAAAGTAAATTTCATCAGAGATCTGCAAGTGAATTGTCATTTTGGACAAGTCCCCAGAGTTGGTGGCCCTCTCCTGTGTACACCAGCTACCACTAGGCAGTAAAAGTAATTTACCCAATTCAAACACATACCGTGCCTGCACTATGTTAAGACCACTGGCAAAGAGGGTACAAAGTTAAATAAGGTCTATCACAGCCCTCAAGGAGTTAAAGGACTAGAGGAGGAGTCCATTTATAGTATAGTATGTGTGCAGTTACCATTTAGTCAAGGCAAACGAACTGTGAGAAATCCTACAACAATAGTACCTACAGTATAACATGCCATCACCGCCCACAGAAGGAAAGCAACTGGTGCCCTCGTCACGTTATGTTGTTAGTACTTGCTTACATGATGTCCCTCCCTGACAATCCCTTCCAACCTCTGTCAGCCTCCTTCCCCACAATCACACACACACACAAAACCACACTGCCAGGAAGGGAAGCCATTGAGTGAGTATTGTGAATCCTACAAGTGGCTCTGTAGTTTAAAAGGGCAATGCCTGTGCCTGAAGAAAATTTGTCTTTAGCTTCATCAGGTGAAGAAAATTGGTTTTATAACACAAGGCCCACCAAACCAGAAAAGCCCAGGAACGCTTCTCCACAGGACTCACTTAGCACGAGAAATCACTCAGAGCAAACTGACGCACACAGTATTTGTCAAATTTTTCTTTTTCATTTAGCAGAAGGTAAGGTAAAGGACTACAACTGAAGTTAATAAATGACACTCTAGCCATTTGGATCATTTGTCACTATAAATGATAGACATTTAAGCTAGTTCCATCTGGGGAAGTGAAACAGAATCATGTTCATATAATAAGCCAGACGAACCAAATTCAGTGGAATACGTGCACCCAAAACTGGACCAGACTTGTACTTAATGCAGCCTGCAAATCCCCAAGAGTCCACGACAGAATACAAGAACAGTAACACTGGTTTATCTCAACTCATCTTAGCTCCCTCACAAACTTGCCAATAATGACCTTTCAAGAACTGCACCGTTGGTCCTCATCTGGGCAATCCCGTGGCTTAGAAAAACTGAATAAAGTGCTTCTTCGAAAAATAAAACAATGCGGGGAGGGGGGAGTAGTAACAAAAAAAAAGGCACACTGGTTTTTACTGTACTGAAGCAATAAATTCTCCAACTAACTTCATTAATGAGTATCAGCAAAGAATGAACACCAAAATACCGCTCAATCCAACTTTCATCGTGAATTCTTGAATTCACAGTAGGATCATTAAATGTGACGGTATCACTCTGCTATAAAAACTATTTCCAAAACAAAACAAACCTATCTACCCCCTTTCTTGATTTAAAAAAAAAAAAAAAGAAGGAAAATTTGAGGGTTTTTGATTTTTTCAACTTCACATACCGGTTTGCCTTTGCAAAAAAAAAAAAAATTGTTTAGTCTCAAAGTATAGCTGCAAGGTGGACCGGCTGCACGGGTCCCAGAGGGCCGCTCGCCTCCGACGGTCGCAGTTTCAGCCGGGCCGCGCCCGCGAGAAACAGCGGAGAGGCCCCAGCAGACGGGCGCCGCCGGACAGGTTTACCGTCCGCGTCGGCCCCGGGGAACCGCTCCCTCGCGCCCGCAGCACTTGTTCGCGGCGCGGACTCCACACCGCGGCCGCCCGCCCCAGGGGAGGAGTGAGTCCGCCCCAGCGGCGCCAACCCGGGGACCCGGGGCAAGGGTTCGGGGCCATCCGCGGCCGGGCGCGCCCCCCATCCGGAAAGCGGCGACGGCCCCCAAGTTGGGCTGCGGAGTGGGAGGCGCGCCGAGCCCCAAGCAGACAATGCGGGAGAAGGGTGATGCGCAGGGAGGAGGGGTCCGCAAAGCTGAGGTCCCCGCGCCGCCCGGCTACCCATCCGTGCCGCCCGCCCCTGAAGCCCCGCGCAGCCCCCGACCCTCCTCTGGGGCCCGCCCCACCGAGCGGCCGCAGGGGACGGGCCGCGCTCCGCACCCCGACCCCTCCTCAAATCACAAAACTTCCCCCAACTCCGCCAACTAAGTTGCGCTCTCACCGTGCGGCTCCCGGGGCTCCCCCGCGGGCCGAGCCGAGACAGCTCCTCACCTTCGCCGCGGAGAAAGACAATAGGCTGCCTCTCCCCCGGCGGCGGCAGCAGCGGCTGCGGCTAAAGCGGCGGCAACCGAGGCGAGCAGTGGGCACGGCGGTCTCGGCCGAGCCGAGGGCCTTCACCGCTGCTGCTCCGGCTCCGCGACAGCTCTGCACGTAGCCCCAGCCACCCCGCGCACCGGCTACAAGCCGCCCGGGGGTGGCCGGGGCACGCAAGAGGGCAGTAACGTCTGCGAGTCCTCCCGTGAGTACACGCGGAGCAAGGGCTGCGAGCTGGGATTGCACGGCAGAGCTGCCCATCCCGCTCCACGAGACCAATAGTAAGGCACCTGGGCGGGGCGCTCAGGTTGCTAAGGGAGGCTGAGGTTGACCGCCGGGGCTGCTCTGTGGCAAAGTGATCACAGCAGGGTGGCTGGCAGAGACTGCTCTGGGAAATGCCCACTCACGGTCTCCTCTCCGCCCTGTTTCCAGAAACTGCCCTTTCTCTGTGTGCTCGTGGTTACCTGAGCTGTAGCATTTAACCACACATCGTGAAATGATTTACTCCTCTATTTCCCCCACTTCAACTCAGGAAGTGGGGTTTAGTCTTCTGTGTCCACAGCCTAGGACAGTCTAAGGTATTAGGTATTAAATATAGGTATTAAACAAGTGTTGGATGGATGCACGGCGCTATGGCGGAATCACAATTGTGACAGTGCATTCCCGTGAACTTTTGGCTACTCTATCACCACAGTCGTTCCGTGTTCAAGCTGCAAAGGACCTCAGAAATCATCGGATTGCTTTGAGAAACAAAATGTGGTCCGTGTACCAACGGCGGCCGAGGAGAATATATTAGTTGGTACACGGAGAAACTTCTTTTTTCAAATAGTTAAGTGTTTTAGTGCTCATTAGGAGGGAAATGCCTATCACGTCAAATCATTGTTTCATTAATGTTACTTCTTAGGTCAAATAAAAAGTGGCAAAAAACAAGTGTATTTCAAGAAAAGTGTTAAGTGAAACTTGAGACACTTTATATGCAGTTCAAGAATGTAAAATACTAGTTGACAGTGATTGAAGTAAGAACAGTTGGTTAGGTAGGAGGAGAAGATTATTGGCTGGGAAGGAGGAGGAGGGAACCCTCTGTGGTGCTGATTCTGTATTTTGACCTGGGTGATGGATAACAAAAGTATGTACATCAATAAAAAATACATCCAGTGCACTTTAGATTAGTGCACTTTACACATTTTATTCATGTATTTTTAATGTCAATTTTTTAAAAATCTGGTATGGAATATACCCCCACAACCCCCCCCTCCAAAAAAAAATGCAAAGATGCAAATGACTGCCATTTGGGAAACACTGATCCAGGCAGGCTCACTAGCAGTGACCAAACACCTGAGAAAGGGTATTGTGAATACCTGATGTATGTGCCAGGAACTTCCATGGTCGAATAGCTCCAAATCTCAGAAATGCTCCTAACCTAGTGTTGAGCTCTGGTGCATAGATATATTTTCTTTTCTTTCTTTCCTTTTTTTTTTTTTTTTGAGGCAGAGTTTCACTCTTGTTGCCCAGGCTGGAGTGCAATGGCACGATATCAGCTCACTGCAACCTCCGCCTCCCAGGTTCAAGCGATTCTCCTGCCTCAGCTGCCCGAGTAGCTGGAATTACAGGCACATGCCACCAATTCCAGCTAATTTTTTGTATTTTTAGTAGAGACAGGGTTTCACCATGTTGGCCAGGCTGGTCTCGAACTCCTGACTTCAGGTGATCCACCCACCTCGGCCTCCCAAAGTGCTGGGATTACAGGCTTACAGGTGTGAGCCTCAGCACCCAACCCAGAATGGCTTTAAAAAAAAAAAAAAAAAAAAAGGCCAAGCATGCCCAGTTCTTCGTGTGAAATTATTTCTGTATCACCTCATCATGCTGCTCACCCTCTTCCACTGTTCTCTAATCTGTCCTTGTTGATATTTAAAAGCTGGCACAAGGCTGGGCGCAGTGGCTCACACCTGTAATCCCAGCACTTTGGGAGGCTGAGGAGGGTAGATCACTAGAGCCCAGGAGTTCGAGACCAGCCTGGGCTACAGGTGAAACCCCAGCTGTACTAAAAGATACAAAAATTAGCCAAACGTGGTAGCCCAAATCCCAGCTACTTGGGAGACCGATGTAGAAGGATCGCTTGAGCCCAGGAGGAGAGGTTGCATGAGCCAAATCAGCAGGGCAGCTGCAGAGTGGGGTGCAAGGTCCTCAACCCAGAGGTTCCCTAGGCCCCACTTGCCCCAGCTCATGAGAGCCTGGTTCTGAGCTCTGCCAGGACCGGGGCTCAGCACTGCCCATGAAAACAGGCGTGGCAGGGAAGAAAATCATAACCAAATATTTGTAGTCACCTCTCTCCTCCCTTCTGGAAAGGGAGGTTCCCAGGTTTGTGGGCTCTTTGCCTCCTGGACATTATTGTGTAGTGAAGGGAGAAAGGTTGAGATGCAGAGTTGGAGAAACTAAGAGAGGCCAAACTGGTCCATTTGAGGAAAGATGACTGATCCCAGAAGGGGAGGAGGGGACACCCTGGGGAAGCAGGGGGCTTCCCAGGTGGTCCAAGAAGGGGAGGGCAGGATATAGAAAGTCAGAGCATGGTTTTGAGTTTTGGAGACAACAAGAGAAAAGAGGGAGGGATTTGGACAACTATGGAGAGGACTGGGCTGTGGAGAGAAATGTTTAGAGATTTGGAAGATGGTGTGTCATGCGATGTACTGTGAAAACCCCTTCTTCATATCCCTAAAAGACCACCGCTGATGGTGATTCATGGTACAATTGATGATTGTATCATGATATAATTCAGTGCTTTTGCAGAGGGATTGGTGCCTTTTTAAAATAATAATGATGCTTTGGCTTGGCTCCATCTGAATTAGTAGAGACAGACATCTTGAGCAGGTTTTATCAGAGTTCCATTAGCTAAATATTGGGTTTCCTATTTTGTGGCTTGCTTTAAACCGCTTTGTAGGCCCTTCTGCACTGAAAGCCACTACAGAAATCACCTCTTTGGTCTGCAGCTCCATGTCCCCAAGCTCTGGGCTTTCCTGAATGAGTGGCCTCATTCAGAAGATAATACAGCATCCCTCATCCGAAAATCCAAAATCTGAAATGCTTCAAAATCCAAAACTGTTTGAGTGCCGACATGATGTTCGAAGGCCAGATTCAAAGGAAATGCTCATTGGAGCATTTTGGATTTCAGATTTTCGAATTCCAAAATCTGAAAAAAATCCAAAATCTGAAATACTTCTGTAATTTAACCTGTAATAGACATTGGGTCCTGACCTTCCAGCTGAGGCAGCAAGCAGTCAACAGAGGCTCACCATGCATCCCTCCTGCTCCTCACCCTCCCACTGGCTTGTGCCTCACCCCCCAGCCTCCCTTGCACCTGCTGGGAAGGGGACAGGATGCTCCTGCCCTGCCTTCTTGGATCTCAGGCTACTGTGATAATTGCAGGATTCCAGCCAGGGAAAATGCTACAGGTAGAAGTACTTGGTACTCTCCATAGAGAAGTTTCCAGCAATGGCACAGCAGCCCCGGGAAGTGTGCTGCCACACCCAGCTAATTTTAAAAACTTTCTGTAGAGGTGTGAATTCACTATGCTGCCAAGGCTGGTCTTGAATTCCTGGCTTCAAGTAATCCTCCCACCTTTGCTTGCCAAAGTGCTGGGATTACGGCATGAACTAGAGCTCCCAGCCGAGAGTTTAGTTTTGTTTGCTAGTGGTGTTCTTGGTATCTTTTCATATTTGAGGCTTTGGTGCTAGTGCTGAAGTATTACACTCACCATCCGAGGTTGGCAGGACTTTTGTTTCAGTATTGAACAGATGGAACTGTTTAGTTCTTCATCTTTGCAGGTATACCAAATGTGCCTACCAGGAGTCTGCTTTATAGCCATTGAAAAGCAAGAAGTAATATAGTAAAATTTTGCCTGGCTAGAGGCTTTGGAAGACAAGTATTTTGGCTTAATTCTATTAACTTGGAAGGATGAAGGTGAAAAAAAATTCAAAACTTTAATTTCCTGTTTATTGCCATTTGAAAATATAGCCAATGATTCCACTTTTCTTCTCCAGTAAGTTTGGACATTCTGATCTACTTGGTGTTTTATTATAGAACTCCTAGTGTGCCTGAGTCTTACATTGTGAAGATCCTTCTCTAAAACTTCACATGTAAGAGAATATAAATGATATTGGATAAGATCAGGCTGGATGAGAACTGATACCTGTAAATATGCGATTTAGACGAAATCTCTGATTGTTTTCTTATTTAACTCATAAAAATAAAACTCATTGGCTGGAAGGTGGGAGCAGGAAGGAGATTTATGTCTTTTAATTGCACGTCATTGTTTCATATAGAGACAGAACATATAGTATCCCTGGTTTTGGACCTACAGAAGGAAACACATTTTTCTACCTGCTGTATGCCAGAGGTTCTTGAACACCTGGAGGGATTACTGCAGCACAGATTGCTGAGCCCTACTCCAGAGTTTCTGATTCATCAGGTCCAGGGTGGGGCCTGAGAATGTGTATTTATAAGAAGTTCCCAGGTGCTGCTGGAGCTGCTAGTCCAGAGACTACATTTTTGAGAACTGCTCTCATATACTAACTGTAAGTTGCAGAGCTCTAGAAAAAAAGCTTAGTTTGGTGTGGGATAAGAAGCACACAGGTTATGGAGAAAATCATGAAAGATTCAACCCTTGATCCCAGCCTAGTGTGGATTTCAGGTAACAAGCAATACACAGTGACATAACAAATTCTTGGTTTTCATGACTGCAAGTGATAGCCAAGTATCAAGTGAGAAATTCAGTTTCATTTGCAAGGCTTAGAGAGTCCAGGTGATTCTAGAAAAATGGGCCTTGTATTTCTCTTAAACCAGTAAAGAGCTTTAAGTGGTTATTAAATTGAAAGCTTTGTGTTCTTACTTATTTTGTATTTTATTTTATTTCTTTTGAGATGGAGTCTTGCTCTGTCGCCCAGGCTGGAGTGCAGTGGCGTGAGCTTGGCTCACTGCAACCTCCATCTCCTGGGTTCCAGTGATTCTCCTGCCTCAGCCTCCCAAATAGCTGGGATTACAGGCACCCGCAACCACGCCTGGCTAGTTTTTGTATTTTTAGTAGAGGCAGGGTTTCTTCATGTTGGCCAGGCTGGTCTCGAACTCCTGACCTCAGGCAATCCACCCACCTCGGCCTCCCAAAGTGATGGCATTACAGGCGTGAGCCACCGCACCCGGCCCAAAAGCTTTGTGTTTTTAAAGATATTAGACATGTTTCTTGTTTTTAAAAGAAATCTTAACAATAATGGAGAATAAGACAAACATTTTTCCAAAAAAGAGAAATTGTTGTGATTATTTTGTCTTATTGGAATGTTGGATACTATAGTCGGCTTCATTAATCATCAAGCATGCTATGGATTTTCCATTTTTATAGGATCTATATCTCAGTTAAGGTAATACTGGTAATTCTTGTACTCCATTTGAAGATGAAAAATATAGGCCAAAATCACAGACTTTGCACAGAAGCTGCATAATGAAGACAGCTCTGGAGGAACACATAGATACACACACACAGACACACATATATATAAAGTATATACACATATATTTTTTAAAGTTTATTTTTTACAGTTTTAAAAGTTTTAAAGCAAAACCCAGCCCTTCTCCTCTCCCAGAGTGGGCGGCCCCTCCCCTTTCTCTGAGTGGGCGGGGACAGCGGTTGCATGGGCAGCTTTCCTTATGATGCCACAGGTCCCTCTGGACATGCTGCTGCCTGGCCACGCCTCCTTTCCCTTTCATCTTTCTCACTGACCAATGGGCTTGGAGCATTAAGGCCACGCCCCTATTCTGCGTTCCATTGGTGCCCTGGTTACGCCACCTGTGGCTCAGTTGCACAGCTGCCTGGTAGGTGACTGGAGGCATTGAGCAGTGCTCACTGGTATTTCGCTGATGTGGCCCCAACCCCGCCTCCCTCCCCACCCCGCGATGTCAGAAAAAACACAACAGGGGAAATTGGCCGCAGCCAAGAAAAAGGTAAAACACACCAGGTCACGGCCCCCAACCCAGCCACAGATCCCCTCCGATGACAAGACCGGTGCCAGAGTCCATACCACTCCTGAGGCATACCAGATGGGGCCCCCCAACCCCAGCCCTCTGGGCTCCCCCAACCAAAGCCTAGTCAGTCAGCCCCACCCCTTCAGCAAGCAGCCCAGTCCCTGCCCTTGCCAATCACCCCAGGGTGACTTTGGGCAGGTGACTCCTGGGGCTCCCTGCTCCATAATCAGCCCTCACCTCCTGCCACCCCAAGCCCAACCTCCCTGGGCTCTTTGGGCTTGCGTCTCCCAGGACCTGGGTCCCCCAGCCCCAGGCCCTGCCCTCACCAGTCATCCCTGGGTGGCTTTGGGCTGGTGACTCCCGGGGCTCCCTACTGCAGACTCTGCCCTCCCCTCCTGCTGCCCCAAGCTCGACCTCCCTAGGCTTCTTGGGCTGGCGTCTCTGAGGACCTGGGTCGAAACCGTGTGTTTCCCTCCCCCATCGTGGAGCAGCGACTCGGGCATCGCGCTGATGTGGTCCCCTCCCCTGGGAGGAGTGGAATGCAATGATGTCACAGTGCCCCTAGGAACTGTCATTACTGCTGCAAGACCAGCCTTTGATCTTACAACCCAGTCCCCTAAGTTTTCTCACCCCATTTCTGGTTCCTCTGGTTGCAGCACAAATTTCCAGCTGGAAGGGGAGTGGAGACTATGGGACCTAGGAGCAAGAGGTTTCAGGCTGCCTTACTCCCTCAACATAGACATTGACAGTGGGAAAAAGCCTACACTTCCCCTGTGAGCTCAAAATGTTCACAGTATCTCTGGGTGGCAATGGGAGAATGGGTTTGGTTTGGTTTTTTCCCAGGCTTCTACTTTCCAGAGAGACTTTAACATTTTTTTCTGAGTTCTCCACGGTTCTGGGACCAGACTGCCCTTCAGTCAGTGGCCTCTGAAGTGAGATTTGCTCATCTTCTGTGGAATAGATCTTGGGAAACTGAACTTGACAGCTTGAATCTTCCTCATATCGTCTCAACCTGGGGTACTTTGAGTGCCACAGGATAAATGTGGGACATCTTTCTGAAGCATCATTTTCCCTTGATTCTCTTGAGAAAATGCATTAATGTACTTAGGGATGACAGACACATAGGTTTCCAAGCGTATACCAGACTTCGCTCTGAAATGAGGCTTGGGTTGTCCTCTTTCTGATAAATTCCCAGATTTAATAGAAAAGCTGCCTTCTGCCATGAGGACACATTGATATGAAAGTGTGAGAGGTACTGGTACGCTTCTTCACGCTAGCAGACCTGTGAGGATGTATGACTCTAAACCACACGGCCTACAGTTCCTGCCTGCTTAATGTGTGCTTTTCTACCTCTGCCCCTGGTTTTGGTCCCTGGAAGCTGCTGATTCATGGCAAAACCCCAGAGCTTGGAGTCAGAGGACTGAGTTTAAGTTCCAGTATTGCCTTTTTTGATCTTTCTTTTTTTTTTTCTATCCATGATATCAATCCCTCTCAGTCACTAAGTGATTGTGACAACACCTTGTACAGTTGTTGGTGGCATTACATCAGATGGTATATAAGGGTATTTTGTCAAAACTGTAAAGGAGGATGTGGCTGTAGGGGCTGATCATTCTCATGAGTGTTACCGCTCTTCTTTCCCACAGTTAAAAGCATATTGGCAGAGGAAGAGCCCTGGCATTCCAGCAGGAGCTAACAGGAAAAAGAAAATCAATGGCAGTAGCCCTGACACAGCCACTTCTGGTGGTTACCACTCACCTGGGGATGTGAGTCTCGGCGGGCCAGGGTCCTGGCGACAGGGGGCCCAAGGGGCAGTAGAGGGTAATTGTTAAGATTGTAGATGGACTGTTGGGTACTGGTTAAGAATTCTGGATTTGAATCCTGCCTCTCCATCTGCTAAGAATTGATTAGGGATTGATTAGCATATGATTTAGGGCAAGTTGCTTGAGGTCTTTGGGCCTCTCTTTTCACATCTGTATAATAGAGGTGGTATTTTTTGACTTCCATTTGTGAAGTTTAAATGAGATTCGTTATTGTTGCTTTTATGTGAATCCTTAGTACATGGCCTGCTGCAAACACCCAGGACACCGAGGAAATGGTCGTTGCTGTTTGATTTTCCTCATCCCCAGTCTCAAGGGGAAGCCAGGCCAATGAGAAGAGCCACTTGCCATCAGGCTGTCCCTTTAGGAGTCACTGAAAGGGCCCCAGGGTGGGATGGTGGGGAGATAAGAACCACGAGAGAAGTTGGCACAAAGGAGTTATGGGAAAAAGGGTCCAAGATAGGCAGAAAAGAAGCTTTTGCCAGTTGATGGGGGAAGAAAGGAAGTCAGAGGGCTTAGACAGTGAGGGGGGACAGAACATCTCCATGTGCACTCTCATCTCTTGCAGTCAGCAACAGGTATCTACGGGGAGGGCCGTGCATCCTCTACTACCCTGGAGGATCTGGAGGTAAGAGGCCCTGGGCTGAGGTGCAGTGACCCTGCAGGCCAGCCCTCCAACCTCCTCCCACAGCAGGGGCTTGTTGCCCCTCTGCCAGCTGAGGCAGCCCACACACCCCCACCAGCCCTAATGATTATTCTCTCTACCCCTCCCCACAATCTTCCTCCAACTCCTTCTCTCTGCATGCACCTCAGAGCCAGTACCAAGAACTAGCAGTGGCCCTGGATTCAAGCTCCGCAATAATCAGTCAACTCACTGAAAACATCAATTCACTGGTAAGAGTCCAGTGGGGTCCCCTGATTACAGCTGGTCAATCCTGGACTCCAGTTTCCTCTTGGGGCCCTGAAGAAAGGGGCTAGGGGCCCCTGATGCCAAGGGCAAATGGGGAGCTGGGCACCCAGGTCTCACCTGGAGGGACCCCAGAGCACAGAACATGCAGCATGGCTCTTCTGCACTGCCCTCTTTGCTGACTCTCTCTTCTCCAGACACCCCTGCTCTAGTCCTTGCCACACATGCCCTGGGGTTGTCACCTCTCTGGGAAGCACTAGCCTGACTGGTTGTCAGGGGTCCATATTTCTGCCCTGCCTCAGTCCCTAATTTGCTTTTTGAGTCTGGAGAAGCCATCTCTCCTCTTTATGCTCGTGTTTCTGGAGGAGGTAGAGAGTATCAAAGGTCTCGGTTAGCTCTGAAAGTCAGAGATTTAAAGGCCCCTAGAATGGAAACCTCAGGGCCAAGGGCTCCTGTCTGTCCTTTGCTGTTTTATATCTCTGCTATGAAGAACTGTACCTGGCCTGTACATGCTCAGTAAATGTTTGTTGAATGAATGCACGTTTCTAAATCACAAACTGGCAGAAGGGGGGTGGGCCCTTCTCAAACTCTGTCTCTAGAGGTTCACCAGCCCCTCCCTCCAGGGCCCTTTTCCCCCTTTGCTTTGGGCAGGTTCGCACATCTAAGGAGGAGAAGAAGCATGAGATACATCTGGTACAGAAGCTTGGGAGGAGCTTGTTCAAACTCAAAAACCAGACGGGTAAGATGGGGCTGGCATGACCTGGCAGCTGGACTGGCATTAGAGGGCTGTGGGGGTGACTTAGAATGCCCCAGGGAGGTGGGTGGATGGAAGGACTTTGAGGCAGAGGGAAAGAGGTCTGTGCCAGGGGAGGACAAGTCTTGTCATCTCCATGAGCCTCAGTGTCCCCATCAGTAAAGAGGGAGGAGTGCCCATTGTCAGCCACCCACAGTGCTCTCTATCTGAAAGTGACTTGGAAGACTGGCTACCATCCAGGTGTGAGGAGTCATTAGCAGTGAGGCCAAGTTTGGGAAGCCTGAGAGGAGGAGCTGTGCACCGAAGGGAGGATTTTTTTTTTTTTTTTTTGAGAATCCAGAGGCCCTTATTGTCTGCTTCCTTTCTCAGCTGAACCCCTGGCCCCAGAGCCCCCAGCAGGGCCATCTAAGGTAGAGCAGCTACAAGATGAGACCAACCACCTAAGGAAGGAGCTAGAGAGTGTGGGAAGACAGCTCCAGGCTGAGGTGGAAAACAATCAGATGTTGAGTCTCCTGAACAGGAGACAGGAGGAGAGGCTACGTGAACAGGAGGAGAGGCTACGTGAACAGGAGGAGAGGCTACGTGAACAGGAGGAGAGGCTGTGTGAACAGGAGGAGAGGCTACGTGAACAGGAGGAGAGGCTACGTGAACAGGAGGAGAGGCTGTGTGAACAGGAGGAGAGGCTACGTGAACATGAGGAGAGGCTGTGTGAACAGGAGGAGAGGCTGTGTGAACAGGAGGAGAGGCTACGTGAACAGGAGGAGAGGCTACATGAACAGGAGGAGAGGCTGTGTGAACAGGAGGAGAGGCTACGTGAACAGGAGGAGAGGCTGTGTGAACAGGAGGAGAGGCTACGTGAACAGGAGGAGAGGCTGTGTGAACAGGAGGAGAGGCTACGTGAACAGGAGGAGAGGCTGTGTGAACAGGAGAAGCTGCCAGGGCAGGAGAGGCTGCTGGAAGAGGTGGAGAAGCTGTTAGAACAGGAGAGGCGGCAGGAGGAGCAGGAGAGGCTGCTGGAGAGGGAGAGGCTGCTGGAAGAGGTGGAGAAGCTGTTAGAACAGGAGAGGCGGCAGGAGGAGCAGGAGAGGCTGCTGGAGAGGGGGAGAGGGAGAGGCTGCTGGACGAGGTGGAGGAGCTCCTGGACGAGGTGGAGGAGCTCCTGGAGCAGGAGAGGCTTCGGCAACAGGATGAGAGGCTGTGGCAGCAGGAGACTCTGCAGGAGCTGGAGAGGCTGCGGGAGCTGGAGAGGATGCTGGAGCTGGGGTGGGAAGCCCTGTACGAGCAGCGGGCCGAGCCACGCAGCGGCTTCGAGGAGCTGGTGCGTTGCCCCACCTGGGGAGGCTGCCCTCTTCCCTAGCCCTCAAGGCCTTTGTTTCCCCACCTGTAAAATGGGGCATTGTAGCCTTCACATGAAATGGTACTTCTAAAGGCATCTGTGAGCCAGAGCCCTGCTCTGATGGCTGTGGGAGAGAGGGGATATTTTTCTAACCTGCCTCCACCCTTCCCGGTGCCATGGGAGGCAGACACTAAGTTCTGGGGTCTCCAGTTTTAGTGGGTGGCCACTGATTGCTTCTCTCTGTCCAGAACAACGAGAACAAGAGCACACTGCAGTTGGAGCAGCAAGTAAAGGAGCTGAAGAAGTCGGGTGAGCTGAAAGAGACTGTAACCTCCGACCCATCCAAGAAGATGTGGGAGGCGGGCACCAGCCTCTGGGGAGGGGAGGTACCAGGCCACAGGCAGCTGCAGCCTGGGGACAGGTGACCCCAGCACCCTCCGGGGCAGTCCTATGACTGTTTCTTGCTTCCTGCCCTCTGACTTTTAGAGGTGGGTAGCCCTGGGGTCCTCCCAGGTCTGGACATCATCATCCCAGCTAGAGGCATGGAGCCCCCCAATCACAGAGCAGAGGAAGAGACAGTGGTATAAGAGGCTCCTTATGTCGGGTGTGGTGGCTCACGCCTGCAATCCCAGCACTTTGGGAGGCTGAGGCAGGACAATCACTTGAGGTCAGGAGTTTGAGACCAACATGGCCAACATGGTGAAAGCTCATCTCTACTAAAATTAAAAAAAATAATAATAATTAGCCGGGCCTGGTGGTGCATGCCTGTAATCCCAGCTACTCAGGAGGCTGAGACACGAGAATCACTTGAGCCCGGGAGGTGAAGGTTGCAGTGAGCTGAGATTGCACCACTGCACTGCAGCCTGGGACACAGAGTGACACTCTCTCAAAACAAAACAAAACAGACAAACAAAAAAGACTCCTTAGATTCAAACTGGATTCCGGCCTCGGTTCCACTGGTCATAATTCAACTACTTTGCATCTCTAAGTCTCTGTTTCTTTAACTTCAAAAGGAAGTTAGCCTTTTCCTTGCAGAGGTGCTGAGGATTAAATGAGATAATACGTGGAAACATTAGGCATGTAGCACACTTAGCAGATGGTGGTTGGCTCCGCCTGCTTTTCCACCAGTCTGTGGCCTACAGTTTAAATGCTGGGAAAAAGGACGTGAGATTTGATGCTAGGGAAGGAGGCATGGGGTTCTAGGCAAGGGAGACAGTCTCTTAGGCCTGGAGCAAGGGGCCAGGGGCCTGGGCAGGCCACAGAGCCCCACAGTGCCCTCGCTACCCTATTAATGGGCCAGGAATCTGGAAGCCAGCCACCACATGTCCTCATGAGGTGGAGCTGAAGAGCCAAGAGGCTCCGAGTCTGCAGCAGCAGCCAGACCAGTAGCTGGAGCCCCAGTCCCACAAGGAGCTTGGATGTGCGGACAAGCAGGGTGGTGAGTAGAGCCCTCAGGCGGGGTGGGCAGGCAGGAGCAGGGGAGGCTCGCACTGTGCCCAGATTCCCACCCCCTCCCTCTCTCTGAAGATCTTAGTGAGCTGAGCCTCACTGATAGCATGGAGGCTGCACCGGGACAGGACAGGGAGGGTTCTCCCCCATGACAACCCCACTGCACAGCAGATCCAGCAGCTGCTTCCTCTAATGCAGGACTCCCCAGGAGCACCCAGGCTTGGGTGGAGAAGCTGTTGGTACAGGAGAGGCGGCAGGAGGAGCAGGAGAGGCTGCATGCCATTCTTTTCGGGCTGCCGAGAACAGGGAGCTAAACATCACCATCATCTAAGAGCGGGTCAAGGAATTAAAAAAAAACAACAAAACGTTTAAGGGGTTAATATCCTACACAATTCATTTACTTCATTTGAATGTTAGAGCCACTTATGTTTATTTGTGTTTCTAATTTATAGTTTAAATTTATTTGTGTTTCTAATTTATAGTTTAAATTTATTTGTTTCTAATTTATAGTTTAAATTTATTTGTGTTTCTAATTTATAGTTTAAATTTATTTGTGTTTCTAATTTATAGTTTAAATTTATTTGTAAAAAGTCAAATGACAGTGGGTCTTTCTCTCATGTTCACTCTGGCATCTTTTAGCATTTTTTTAATTTGATAATTATAGGACGTTAGCATGCATATCGAGTTTGCCCTTATGTGGTGGGAGTTCAAACACACAAAGACCCACTGTATGCACACAACTGTTCTTGCTGGTTTGGGATAGGCTGCCATGCTTTTTGAATGTTAGTACAGCATGTATATTCATTACGGAATTCAGATAAAATTTCCTTATGTTCTGCTATTATGTTTGATCGAATCCTAATCACAGTGAGCTCTTCATTAGCTCAATATGCGGTTTGCCCTCAAGTGCGCGGTCTATTACTTTGTAATATGCCACTGTGAGTACTGACATTTACAGTTGTTTAAAGGTGGAGCACTGGAAACAGCCTTTCCCCCTTTTTCTGTGTATTGGGGATGGGAGTAATAACATTTTGGGGAGGTTTTTAAATCTCCCAGAAGAGGAAAGTGGCCTGCTCTGGCAGGTGTGTGCAGGATAGAATATGTTTCATTTGTTCCGGTGCCAAGAATGAGCGCTGTACTATGGTAGTTCCCTTAGGATTTGTATGTGCTCTGGGCTCATGAAGATACTGCCTCATGAGCTGTGGCAGTTGTACTCTTTTTTGATGACCTGAAAAGGGATTATTTCTGAGGAATGAAAGGCTCCCATCATGACTGTGGATGTGGAAAACCTTTTCTAGCTGAGAGCATTTATATCTACAATACATTTTAAAGTCAGAGTTCATGTTCCCTGTTTTAATCACATGACTACATGTCCCAGTACACAAAAGGGCACTGGTTGGCATTCTCCTTAATGTGTTTAGTAAAGATCAGAAGAAATCCTTTAAGAGTTTAAATGCCCCTGGAACAGGCATATACAGGCTCTAGTCAAGAATGAATTCGAGTGAAGGAAAGCTGTGGGACACCTGGCATTCCTCTATGTTCATGGAGCTTATTTGAGGCTAGAAGATGGATTTTACCATCTAGACCTCTCTGGCTAATAGCTAGTCTTCAACCATCTGACATAGGAATTTACTTCTTTTCCTTGAATGGAGAACACTTTAAAAATAATAACAATTATTATAAACTAATATATGTGAGAGTACTTAGTTGAAACAAAAAGGAATTTTAGTAGACAGTATTATACTACATTTGAAAATCAAGGAGCAGTTTATGCAACTTAAAATGTTTACAAACGGCAGCGCAATCTACTGTTTGTGACTGTCAAAGTGTCATGAGGAAAGTGTCTATACAATCACAGACTTATATTTCCTCACAAAATTCTTTACGTAGAGTGAAATATGTTTTTATACCTCTCAGTTTCAGTTAGAGGCATATTTTGTGTAATATTTATGGCTTAAAATGGACTAAAGGTCCTGTTCTTGCCTTTTCTGAACTTGCCGCTTTTGCATTCTTTGAGTTCAGTTTAAAGACACTTACTTTAACTCCATTTTAAACCCTCGGGCTAGAAATCGTACCACTGTTAATTAGCCACATTATTTGGTCTAACAGTTTATCATTCTGAAACTGAGCTTATCTAATACATTGATAAATTATTTCAAAGGTATTTTTATAGTTCAAATCGCTTCACTTTTACCCTGACACGTATAAATGACTAGGAATGACCTTCAGATAGCGTTTAGCAACTGTAACCAATCTGACAATAATGTGTTCATCAGGTACCTGTGGATTAAATCACATACTGGCATATTTAAGCTGAATGTCAGTCTGAAAAATAAATGTACTATATTAACTCAAATACCACTCTCTGTGTAGGTATTTTGTCATATGTTTAAGAAAAAGCTAAAGAGAATGGAAATCCTATGACAATAACTCAAGTCTTTCTTCAAAGTGCATGCAGTCTCTTGCAGTACCTCATTCAGCCAAGTATTTGTTCTCTTCCTCATTCAGTATAAGGCAGCCTTTAATTTGCTTAGAAGGCAATATTAGAAGGTTAGAGTTCAGCAGAAAGATAGAATTTTAAAATGTGAGTTCGACTGAATAAATTTGAATTTCTGTAGGAAGTAAAGAATGAAAATACCTATTTAAAGACTGCAATATATGATAATTATTTTTAAAGTAATAGATTAAACCTGATAGTTTTTCCTGAAATGAAAAACAATCAGTTCTAAAACCAAAGCTGATTTTTAGAAAATGTGAAAATGTAAATCAACCCTATCCAAAATAGATTCCCTAAAACTTTATCTTACAGTCACTTTCAAATAACTATTCAAAAATGTAACTGTTATATTAACGTCTTAAAATAATTTAAAACATTTTAAAATACGAATACTGTAGCTTAAAACAAAGAATCTAGGGGAAGGAAAAGTAGAGAAAGAAATGCCAATTCCAGTCCAAAGCTGTATTTGCCAAGTTTTCTTAGAACGACTTTTACCGATTTATGAATTCTTATACACAGAATGCATGATGGAAATACTGATTTTTGTCTAAAGTGGCATTATTGACTGCTTCTGTGATGCTACTGTAATGTAATAGATTATTAGATTATTTCAAGGTGCTGTTTTGCCTAAAAATTTTGTGTGTCTTGAAAACTATAGTATTAAAGGTATTGAGACTGTGCAAATGCTGGGCATGCTTGGCATGAGATAATCGGTTTTTATTCTTACAAAATTGTAACCATATAAGTGTGTTTATTAAAAGAACACAAACTAAAAAATTACAGGAATTAAAGTTGTGGGATGAAAAAGTTACGGGATAAAAAATACTGTGGAAAAGTTGTGGCAAAAAAAGATGTGGGAAAAAAGTAAAAAAAAAAAGTTTTATGAAAAGTTTTTTTAAAAAGTTCTGAAAAAGAAGTTACGGGATTTAAAAAAACATCATGGGATAAAAATAAAAATAAATAAAAGCAGGCCCCTGTCAGCATAAGCCTGGAGAAGTGGGTCTGGAGTCTTCACCCCCACCATGTCCCTACAACCCCTCCCCAGTCAGCCCTTTACCATTAGGGTAGCAAGACAAGACCCTTGTCTAATGGAGGGAGACAAACAGACCCTTTACCACCTTGACCAAGGCTGAGTCCTTACATTTCTGGATGATGATGTTATTTAAGAGCCAGAGGTTGGTGGAGTTGGTTTGTTTGGAGGAGGTCTGACGGCCTTCTTACTCTCACCAAAGCAACTTTTCCCTCAGGGGGGCTCCCATCTTCTTACTCAGAGAGGCAGCTGAGGCGGGACAGTGGAGTTAACTGTAGACCAGGCCAGGGCACAGGCTGCTGGGGGTGGCCCCCCTTCCCCCGTGTACATACTGTAGCTGTGTAACATTCTGTATCGTACCTAGCGGAGGTTGCAGCTGGCATATGAGGAAGAGGTTCTTATAATTATTCACGGCTGGGAAACTTATTCATTGTTAGCATAGGAGCGATGATGGGGGTGGGGATGGCGTCATGGCTCCCTGGTGATGGGACCCCTTTTTTGTTTTGTTTTGTTTTTTTGTTTTTGTTTTGGTTCGCTTTTGATTTTGGAATAAATGGATTTAGCCATACTGCTCGGCCTGGCATGTTCCTGTTTCCCTCACTGGGTCCTGCAGTTTTTCCCACTCAACGAGGAGCCCCAGAGTGTCTCAGCATGTCCAGCTGGGCTGTGGGGAATCTTCCAGGCCTGTTACCTGTATGCTGCCTGGTGACACCTGGTGGATTTCACGAGGACTGCCATGGCGCCTATGGAGTATAGTCCGGCCCTGACAGCCAACAGGTTGAGAAGCCTGATCTAGCTGTGGTCAGGAAGACAGATACCAGTGCCCAAGGGCACTGACTTCCACCCACCCCAGGTGTCTTCCATTCCATCCCCCTGCCTCCCTCTCCTGTCTGCACCGGGTGGCCTGTCTGTCCCTCCAGAGTGCCGGCTGCCCCACAGGCTCCTTCCAGGCTGAGTTCAGGGCCCTGTGCCCTAGTGGCCAGAGCCGGCTTCATAGGATAAGAGCCAGCTAAGCTCCAGGGACTTTCCAGGAAAAGTGTCCCTTGAAAAGGGTGTGACCTTTTCACTGCTGCCAACAGCACCCTAAAAATGGCTTGGCCTCTTCCCTCCCCTGAGCTCCATAGAGAACACAGCCAGCAGAGGACACATTCTCTGTCATTCAGAAATGGGTTTCTCAGCCGAGGGACAGCAGGACTGGTAGAGACTGTCAGGCCACACAGCTGCCTGCACAGCACCGCCATGCTTGGCCAGAAGGGCGGGAGGGATGGCGGGGGCTGGCTGTCCACAGGCCGCGCATGTCCCGGAAGCTCACTGGAGGTGGTGCACTTTGGAGGGGCGATGTCAGGAGACAGCTTCCTCTTGCTGGGCTACAAGACTCCACAAGCACAGCACGGGGACTGGTTCCCAGTTCTAGAGGCGAGGCAGTCGACCACATGTATATATGTATATATATATATGTGTGTGTGTGTGTGTGTGTATGTGTGTGTGTGTGTTTGTGTATGTGTATATATATGAGAATTTATAGCTATTTATAGAACAGGGCAGGGGCATACTACAGAGGGGGCACAAGTTTCAGCAATGGTCACACCTGGACGTGTCAGCTCACCGCTACAACAGACTTAAGTCACAGAAGAAGGGGGCTGGCTTTGGGGCTGGGGGAGCCACTGTCAAGTCACAGGACACCCGCCCAGGCAGGCTTGGAAAGGGAGGTCTCTGAGAAGAGGAGGAATCTTTTTAGAGGTCGAAGTGGGGCCTGGGGCTCTCAGGACGGGATGGACTTGCCTGACCCGATCAGCTGGCAGTTGGAGAGAAAGCAGAGAGAAAACGGGTTAGAGAAAAGCCAGAGCTGGTTGAGGCAAGTGCAGAGTATGGATGCGCTGCAGCAGCTGTGGAGGGCCGGGGAGGGGAGGGCGTAGGTGTGGGCATGGCAAGGTTCCTGGAAAAGAGGGGCTGGAAGGGAAAGGGGAGGGAGATGGAGGGAGAAGCCGGAGCTTCATAGGTAGTGCCTGGGGGCTGCGGCGGCCCTCCCCACCCCACACACGCTGGCCTCTTTCATGGCACCCAGGCAGTCCACCCATAGTTCAGATGAATGCTCAGCCCCCTCGGGCTTCTCTCTTCTCTGGTCACCCTGTCTTCCAACTCACGGCCCAGGGCCACCTCTTGCTTGGGGAGCCCCACCCAACAGCCACCAGGCCTGATAGAAAGGGAACACTGCTTGAACCAAAAATGGTGAAGCTATAAGGGATGGATGACTGGAGTGAGTGCCAGAGGCCCCTCTGGGTGGTCCGAAATCCCAGGGTCCTCTGAAGGGACCCTGGGGAAGGCAGGGAGGGCAGGTAGCCGGATGCCACTGGCCATAGACTTATAAGTCTAAGAGGGGAGCCTCAACTGGTTGGCGGGGGTGGGGCTGCAGGTTGCATAGGTGAGGCTGGGCCCTTCCTGCTGGGAAAAGCAGAAGAGGGAGAGTCCATGGCAGGAGAGGCAGGTGGGCTCGCTAGGCGGAGCTCAGCTGGGCCAGCAGGCACTGTGGTCCCCTTGGCTGAATAGCACAGGCGACCCCTAGGAGCAACAGGCCAAGGTGTGTGAGCCTGCTGGTCGGCGATAGTGCTTCAGCGGGGGCCAGGGACCCTGCCTTCGGTCACACACTAGCAGCTATGGTGGTACCTGGGAGGGAGGGAAGGGGGCTGTGTGTCCCCGCCTGGCCTGTGGAGTGTGGAGTGTGTTGTGGGATGACCGTGTGCATGGGACTCTCACCTAGATACCACTGGATTGCCGACAGATAGATGAGGTGGGACCCTGACTATCAGCCCTGCTTTGCAGTGGATTTGGCTCTCAGCACTCCCAGGCTGGGAGCTGGATACCTGCCCTGGCAGCATGACTCAGACTGCACGACAGGTACGGCATGCCCAGGATGATGTTCTTAGGGACTGGTTCAGTGTGTGGGTCAGGAGCAAGTCGACAGGCCCTGCTCCTTACCCCTTGGAAGGGACTGCCACCAGGGGCAGTTCTGACTAAGGCCTGGGAACCCATGACTCAGAGCGTGGGTCCCCAGGTCTTGCTGGGCCAGCCTGGCTGCTGCAGACAGACAGGAAGCACGCCTGACGCTCCTCCACCCTCGGTCAGCACAGCGGGGCTGGGACTCACGCTAGCCTTCCCAGCAACTTGCTTTCCTGCGTGAACTCTGGCAGGCTGCCCTCTCTGTGCAAAGCCATAGCTGGGGCCTGCTCGGGGCCCTCTCCCTCTTCCACCTGCTCAGGGTGGCCTGGAACTTGGAGGTGGGCAGTCGGCACCTAGGATGGGCCTGTGTCACTAGGGCATGTGTCCTTGGGCCAGTTACTTCCTCTTAGAGCCTTGGGCTCCTCCTCTGAGAATGGGGCGTGTTGGTGTGAAATGAGGTGAGCATGTTGAGTTGAGGAGCAGCAGGACAGGCACCTGCAGGCAGCCCCCCTGGCCACGTTCCCCTCCCTCCCTTCCAAGTCCTGGGACAGACGCTCTTCACCAAGGGGTTCAGCTTCTGATGCTCTTTCTTGGTCTCAGTCCCTAAGGAGTAATTTTTTTTCTTTTCTCTTCTTTTCTTTGAGACGCAGTCTCCTCCCTCTGTCGCCTAGGCTGGAGTGCAAAGGCGTGATCTCAGTTCACTGCAACCTCTGCCTCCCAGGTTCAAGCGATTCTTCTTCCTCAGCCTCCCAAGTAGCTGGGATTACGGGTGCCCACCACTGCACCCGGCTAATTTTTGTATTTTTAGTAGAGATGGGGTTTCGCCACATTGGCCAGGCTGGTTTCAAACTCCTGACCTTAGGTGATCCGCCCACCTCAGCCTCCCAAAGTGCTGGGATTACAGGTGTGAGCCACCGCGCCCAGCCAGGAGTGATTTTCAGTGGTGTCCTCTCCATCCCCAGCATACACCCAGCCCTGAGCGGCCGCGGCTGCCACATGCAGGCTCCAGGGCTACATTTGCCTTTCGTCCAGGGTTGTCATACGCTGGAGAGTAGAATGTGAGAGGTGACCCCTGTAGGCTGCAGGGTGGCCCCTCTGAACCTTAGTGTCCCCCACCTGTAGAAGGGGCGTAACACCTTCCAGGGGGAGGGCTGAGGAGGAAATTGTCAACGGCTGAGTCTAAGGCTCACAGCCAGAGGCCAGGGTCGGATCCAGGGCTGGGCCTGGGCCTGGGAGGACAGTGTCCGCCCCTTCTCCAGCCTCCCGCCCCTGGTCAGGCCAGGACCCTCTTCAAAGCACCTTTATGCCCATCTGTTCCCTGCTGTGGGCACTACTGTCTGGCTCCATGGGACTAGATTTTATGGGAGGGGAAGGGGCTGTGGGTAGGCAGGTGCCAAGGTGCTGGACCATAGATCAGCATGGTAGGAACCTGTTGCTTGGGCTGGTGGTGGGAAAGGGGCCACCCCCAAGGCAGTGGCAATTAGCCCAGCCCTATCTCTGGGCACAGAGATGAAGGGACACGTGGGGACACAGTAGGGCAAAATTGGCCAGCCTGCTCTTCCCCTCTCTGCCCGCTTTTTTGCAGAAGAGTCAACAGATAGAACAGACAGAGCCAGGGAGGTGCCCCTGGGGGCCCCAGTCCCCACCACTCCAGGGGGCAGTCCCTGCAAGTGACAAGGTGGGCTCAATCCCTGTGGAACAGGTCTCTGAGGACCACAGAGAGGGGCCCCAGGGAAGGCTGGGAGCCTGAGCTGAAGGCAGGCAGCAAGTAAGGGCCAAGCTGTGCCCCTGCCCAGAAGACCTTCCTGCCCCCAGAACCCCACCCTCTGCAGACAGGCCTCCCTGGGCAGCAGCCCCCCGGCTTCCGAGGCCTTCCGTGCCTCACCAGATGCCATGCTCTCAGGGACTCGTTTGCTACGCTGCCCCCTGCAGATCTGCCCCAGAGGAGCAGGTGAAAAGCCGCACCTGCCGAGGTGCTGCAGCGGTGGAGTTTTGGGCAGAGGGGTCGGGGGAAGAGTTTCTCACTTTTAAGATTCCCCAAATCCAAGATGAAGTCACACTGTGCTTTAGAATGGTAGATGCTCATTTATGTAAAATCATAATAAATGTTACACAAACTGTTAGAATAAAAAAATACCTTTTTCGAGGGGGAGGAGCTCCCCAGCCTGCCGCTGGGTAGTGAGAGGGGGTTAGCACCATTAGGGCGTAGGGGTCGGGAGCTCCGCCACAGCCCGTGGTGGGCACTGAGGTCTGTCGGTCGGTCTGTGCATCCTGGCACTGTCAGTGGCGGGTGACCCGCTGATGGCCTCGGGAGGGGGCGCCGTGGCTGGGCGGAGAGCACGAGCGGCAGCACTGGGTGCGGACGGTGGGCAGCTGGCAGCGGCCCAGTAGGCGCAGTGTCTCACAGAACCCGAAGGACAGGCGGTCCCGCTCACAGCCTGGAGTGGGGGGTCAGAGAGGCATCAGAACCAGTGGTTTGGGGTACCCAGAACCTGGCTCCCCACCCCAACCACCTTAAGGAGGCTCCAGCAGCTCCCCACCAAGCAGAGAGCCCCGGTTTTTGGAGCGGCTCCCAAACCGGAGTTGCAGGTCTCCAACTGTTGGTGTCTCTGTCCCACCTACTCACGGCCGACCCCAGGACTCGAGAACGGGCGCTGCTGGGCTGAGGTTTCTGGAGGAAAGGTCCTGAGACCCCACCCTGACCCCCTCACATGACTGTTAAAGAGCCTGCCCAGGGCGACGCCCTGCCATCCCATCTCCATCCTTGCTCACCCCTGGTGTTCCCCGACAGATCCTGGCACAGAACTGCGGTCCCGGGGCCTCCTGCCAACCTGCAGCGGCCTCTGCCCCCGACTCCCGCCACCGCCCCCTGCCCCAGTGCATCTGTCCTGCCAGACCTCCGTGACCACCTCCAGCCACAGGGGCTGTACACAGCCTCGGGTTCTGAGTCACAGGTCGCATCTCCCAGGCCAGCCTCCCACTTCCCAGGTGGGCCAGGAAGCCTAGAGAGAGTGGGCCCTACAGGCTGTCAGCGGAAACCAGGGACTAAGCCCAGGCCCAGTGGGGAGGGAGGCCGGCTGCAGGCTGTGCTTGTCAGGGCTGAGGCTTGGCTGGGCCCTCCTGCCCCGTGGTTATCAGAGCTATTTTGGGAAGTGGCTTGTTTCCAGCCTCCTGGCCTTGCTCCTGATGCCACTGCCACTGCTGACAGCCCCCACCTGCCCCCTGGGCCCTGCTTACTCCAGCAGACCTCCCTGGGGAGGAAGAGCGGGAGGACAGCAGCCAGCCCTGTGCCAGGGACACCCCTCAGGCCCGGCAGAGGGCACGAGGCCGCAGGCAGGCTCCTCCACCCCAGCTCCAGGCAGAGCTCCAAAGTGCACATCTGCAGGCCTGCATCCTGGTCGCCCGGGGTGACCTCAGACAAGCTGCTTCACCTCTTGGGCCTCGGTTCCCTCCTCTGTCAACCCCACCTCCACAGCAAATGGATGTGGCCATGCTGTGTCACTGCAGCGACTGCACACTCTGGAGTTTCCCGGCTTTCCCCCTGTCCCGCCAACTGTCCCACAGACCAGCAAAACATCCTGGGAATTCCAGGTCTCAAAGTCCAAGACACCTTCCCAGCTGCCCCTCCACTGTTCACTGGTGGCAGAAAACTCCTCACTTGGGACAGCTTCTAGTTCAGCCACCTAACCAGCCCCCATAGCCCACTCCCTGCAGCCCACTCATACCCGCCCCTGGGAGACCTTGCAAGCCCAGAGCCTCCTGGGCCATCCGTCCTTGGTTCTAGGCCCCCAGGGGCCTCAGTTCCTGTTCTCTGCCCCATCTGGTCCTCATCCCCTGGGATCATAACCACCCCACTCCCTGTGGCCAGCTCTAGCCATGAAGGCGAGAGATGTGATGCCAGCACCCAGCTCAGGCAGCACACAGGAGTGCTCTGAGATGCTGGCTGGGTGCGTGCTGAGGGCAGGCAGGACAGGGTGGGGGCACTGCCACTTGGCCTTGAGGTAATGGGGTTTGTGGCAGGAAGGCCACCCCTGCCAGAGGCAGGGTAGCAAGGCATGGCAGCGAGGCATGGCAGGGGCCACTCTGAGCCCAAATGAGGGCTGCCCAGGAGCCAGCGCAGGTAGAGAAGGCTGCATTGGACAAGGGGAGAAGGCAGACTGGGGAGATTGCAGGGGGCCCCGAATGCCAGCTTGAGGGCCGTGGCTGAGGACTCTGTCCTAGGGTCAGGGGGCAGACAGCCAATAGCACAGGGGCCGCAGCTCTTCAGGCCACAGCTCCTGGATTCCTTAGACTGGCAGGGTCAGCCCCAGGCCCTCTCCCTGACCTTGCAATTGGGGATGACAGTGGCTTTGGGGGAGGGGAAAAAGCCGCCTTCCCTGAGCACCACCTGGATCCCCACGCAGTGCTGTGCCCTTCATGCCCAGACCTCACTTATGCAAGGATGGGGCTTGGCAGCCCCTTTATTCAGCACATGAAGGCCCTGAGAGGGAAATGGAGCCCAAGGCCACACAGCTGGTGAGGGGAGCCCAGGTGACACTCCAGGGCCACCCCATTTCCTGCCCTCAGCACTGCTGAGAGCAGCTGGGGCTGCAGGAAGTGTGTGAGTGTGTGTGTGTGTGTGTGTGTGTGTGTGTGTGTGTGTGTGTTGGAGGTGGGGGGTTGGGATATCCAGAACCACCTCTAGCTCAGGCCCTTCCACCAGGACCCAGCTGGCCAGGAAACCCCCCACCACTGGGATTAGCAGGA
The DNA here is from genome assembly GCF_000001405.40 of Homo sapiens. Lineage (NCBI taxonomy): Eukaryota > Metazoa > Chordata > Mammalia > Primates > Hominidae > Homo > Homo sapiens. The sequence continues at coordinate 85,258,050 of NC_000015.10, forward strand.
CCCTGGAAGGGAGGCCCTTCCTGTGGTTCCATTGCTCACTCTAGGCAGTCCTCTGGCCAGGGAATGGACAGGCCAGGGCTGGGGAGGGGACAGGGACTCACCCAGGCCCAGTTTTCACACAGCTTCAGGGACATCCCCGGTCTCACTGTGGGAAGACTGAGACCCAGAGGGGAAAGAGCTTACCCAGGTTCACACAGCAAATCAGGGGCCAAGGCCACTCCCTCTACTCACTGGAGGTCAGAAAGCTGCCTGCGGGATGTTGTGTAGCTGGGACTTCTCTTGACTGACTCCCAGCACAGCCCAGCCTCCAGCATGGGATCCTGTGGCATCAGGATTTTCAGTGGCTCCTGAGCCCAGACTACAGATGGAGCCAGCCGGTGCCGTGGGTGCAATGGTTTGAAGACCCAATTTCCCCATCACCCTTCCCGCCCCACCTCACTTCAGCAGAGAGCTTGGGGTCGGGGGACTCACGGGGAGGCTCGACGGGCTCACAATCCTCGGTGCCACACAGCCGGGAGCTCACAAGGCCAGGCCTCGTGGCCACACTGGTCACTGTCTTCCTCGGGTAGCCCCGTCTGGGTGTTGACACACTTGACCAGTGTGTGACCACTGGATGCCACCACCACAGGGGCCTGAGCACTGGGGGGGAGCAGGGGAGGAATGAGTGTCTCCAGGGCCAGCCCTAGCAGTGGGGGCAGGGACACCTCCTCTGGGAAGCCGTCCCTGCGCCCTGTGCCTGACTGGTCTGCCCTTGCTCCCAGCCGCCCTCTCAGTGCCTCCTGGAGGACCTGTTCCCATTCCTAGAGCCCACTTGGTGCTGGAACCCCACTCTCACTTGTGGGATCGGCTGCTGCAGAGGGAAGGGGCATGAGAACCATGGGACAGCCCTTGGGGCGGCAGGGCAGTGAGCCCCTCACACGGGACATGCCTGAGAGGCCTGGGCAGGGGCCCCGGGATGGAGCCCTGATGCAGCAGTGAGCAGAGACGTGGGCGAGACACCGCTGTGCCCGAGGGACAGGGCAGAGGACCTGCCGCAGCCCATGGGCAGGAGGGGTGGAGACAATTTCACAGCCGGGGCCCAGCCCGCCAGGCTTTGTTGTTAACAGGTGCAGGTCTGAAAGCCCTAAACATGTGCTGAGTCTGTGCCAGTGTCGTGCTGTGCCCGGCCCTGTGCTTTGTTGCGTTCCTCCATTTAATCCTCCTGACCCTCCTCTCCCAAAGCGTCCCAATTTTACAGATGAGAAAACTGACCCAGCAAAGCAAAGCAACCTGCCCAGAGTCACTCAGCAGCCAGTCGGACAGACTCAAACGCTGGCCCAGCTGACTCCCGGACCCAGCTCAGGGCCCAAATCTGAGATTTCTGAACCCCTCAGTTCCAAACAGGCCCAGCAGAAGGTGTCCTGCCCATACGAGGCCCCTCTTCTGCCCCCTTCTGCCGCTGGCCTTTGCTGGGCTCCCTGATCTCCCCAAGCTCATCATTCCTGCCTCAGACTTCACACCTGCTGTCCCCTCGATCCCTGTCCTTGGCATCACTGACTCCTCCCTCGGGTCTCAACCCCAGACCCCTCCTCGGAAGGCCTTCCCTGACATCACAGCACACATGCCCTTTCCTTGTCTGTTTCTCCCTGTCAGGTGTGAGCACCAGCATGGCAGGGCTTTGTCCAGTGACTGCTGCATGTGCAGGGGCCACAGACAGCCTGGCTCACAGCACACACTCCACAGCTCCTTCACCCAACCCAGGACTGACCAGGCGCTACCAAGCACTTGCTCCCTGCTCCCCCCCGCAGCCTGGCTCACCTGGCCCCAGGGCCCCACCACCCACTGTGTGCAGGGGTGGGTGTTGCAGGGCCGGGTGGTGTTGGGTCTCAGTGCCTCCTCGCAGAGGTCTGGCTCTGGGCAGGTCACCAGACGCTGCTGCTCACCACCGCCACAGGCCTCGGAGCACTGGGTGGGCAGGGAAGGAGTCAGGGCACAGCCAGGGTCTGAGGGTGTCCCCTCCCCCCAACTCAACGCCCAGGCCTCACCTCCCTCCAGGAAGACATGTACCAGCTGAGGCAGGGCTGGGCCCCGCAGGGCCAGTGCACAGGCAGCTTGGCAGGTCCAGGCTGACAATGGAAGGGCCACAGTGGCCAGAGGGCCCATGTGTCCACATGCTGCATGTCCCACACTGAGGAACCTCTGCCACAGCTGTGGGAGCACTGGGGACCGAGAGACTTGTGTGGACACATCCCCACGTGCAGGCCCACAGGCGTGACCCCGTGAGGCGTGTGGCAGGAAAGGCATCAGACCCACGCCCCAGCCGGGGGCAAATCCCTGAAGAGCCCCAGCGAGAGGCCAAGGCTGGCAGGCCCCAGGCAAAAGGTGGCATGGCCAGGGGCTGCCATGGGCTGGGACAGACAGAGAAAGGGAGGAACAAGTCCAGATGGGGTCAAAGATACAGAGGAAAGGAGACAGGCCAAGCCAGACAAAGATGAGATGACTCCCAAGAGATTCGGAATCCGGTGCGATCAGGCACATAGACATGCAGCCTGGAGCCCTCCCCTTCCCTGCCGCTCTCGGAACACAGGCCGTGGGGAACCAGGGCTCCACCCCATGCCCTGGGGATGCCTGTCCTGGCTCCATCCTCATGCACCTTACTCCAGTTGCCTGAGTGCCAGGTGGCACAGGGCCACAGGTGGCAGCGGCGGGCAGGCTGGGGCCGGCCAGCGGGGTCGCAGTCCTCATCCCGGCTGGAGCTACAGCGCACCGGCCTCCAGAGGGCACCCAGGCCACAGGTGGTGGAGCACTGCGGGGCACAGACCCGTGAAAGCCAGGCAGAGCCCATCCTCGCCAGGCCTCCACAGCCAGGAAACTACCCACCTAGGCTAGCAAGACCTCAGCAAGACAGGGGCCCTCTTCTGGGCCTCAGTTTCCTTATTTGCAAAATAGGCTCCTCCACCCACCTCCCAGGAAGACCATGAGAATGAAAAGTCAAATCCCCCCAGCAACCAGCCGTCCCTGCTCACATGGGACAAAGGGCCTGTGTGCCAGTGTCATTGGTGCAGAGGTTCGGGGGAGGAGACCCTGTGGGCACCCCTGACCAGCTATCCTGACCAGCCTCGTCGCTTCCCAGAGGCACCAGGGAAGGAAGGCTGGGTCCTGGTACCAGCAGCCAAATCGCTGCCTGTCCCCGCGCAAAACAAGCCCTGTGGGCCTCAGCCTGCCCCTTCCCACCCCAAAATTAGGAATCTGAACAGAAGCTTGCTTCTCCTGCAGTGACCATCTGGGGACCCAGGGAGGGGGCACTAGCCAGCTTCTTTCATGCAGCTCAGACGTCTGCAGGTCACTGCCAAAGGAGGGTGGAGCCACTGAGGGCAGAGCCAGGTAGCAGTGGGCTGAGTCCAGCCTGGAGGAGCCAGGCAGAGCCTCAGGGAAGCTGCTGCCTGCTGGGCAGGACTGGGCCTGGTGGCCACACAGGGACCCTCCCCACTGCACAGCTGTCTGAGCCAGCTCCATCCTGGGGCATGCTGTGCTGCCAGAGTGTGCCTGCCCCTGCCTTCCCTGAGGCCCCCTGTGCTGCCCAGGAATGGGCCCCAGGTCCCCTCATTCCCCTAATCCTGGGAACCCCCGCCCCAAGGAAGGCGAGACAGACGGCGCCTGCGTCCCACTCTGCTCATTTTCAGATGAGGAAATAGTCACCAAGGTCCTGCGCAAACTCCCTGCCCGCCCAGCCCACACCACTTGCCTCGCTCCAGTTTCCCACTTGTCAGCCGGCGTTCCTGACAACCAACGGGTCCGTGGGGGGCCCCGCTTCAGCCAGGCTGGGAGGCAGTGGCTGGGTCTCAGGGGCTCTGTGGCTGTTGGCGGGGCTGTCCCAAGCTGGCATGGACAGCAGCCTAGAGCTCAGGGGCACCTCAGGGCTGAGGGACTCAGGCTGACCCTTGGGTCCTGGGTTCAGGGCAGGCTCAGGCGTGTGCCCGAGGTCAGTCAGGGTTGTGGGGAGGAAGGTCCCCCACACTGCCACAGTCTGAAGGTCCCATAAGCCTGGTCCTGGGGTTGGGAAGGTGGGAGTCCCCGGCTGCAGGGGACTGTCGTTGCCCTTCATCTCTGGCAGAGGGGCTATGGGAGGAGGAGGGAGAGAAGCCACCCCAACAGTGGGCCACAGTTCACTATCCACAGGCCCCAGGCCACCCTCCAGAGCTGACTCCCAGGCTACTGTCCCTCCTGTCCACAGCTCCGCCACGTCAGGACTAGGAGAGGAGTGGGTGCTGCTGACCGGGTACAAAGTGGGCAGCGTGGGGCTGGGTCTCGGGGGCAGGTGGGGTGCTCCGCAGCCCTCGGGTTCCTCATCATTTGAAAACCTCATTGGTCCTGTCCTGCCATGGAGAGGGCAGCTGGCTCTGGCTGTCCTTGCCAACTGGGAAATCATTTTGGCTCTCAGGGGCGGCAGGCATCTGCAGGCCATCAGTGGAAACCCTGGGCCAGGGCAGGCTGGGGAGCCCAAGATCTGGGGCCCCTATGGGGGTGTCTCCCTCAGGCAGGAAATGATCAAAGGGTTCCCAGGGGTCTGCTCTGAGGGTGGGGGTGGGGAGCGGCTGGCCTGGCTAGGCCAAGGGCTCGGGGACCAAGGTCCCGTTGCCCCTTCCTCCTTGGCTGCAGGAGGCTCTGTGGCAGGCACGGGGCTACCCGTGGAGGGCGCAGCAGGACGGCTGTGTGGTGGGGGCGTCCGATCCCCTGTCCCCGCCAGGTCTAGATCGGGCTCCTCAGAGGGCCCGTAGGACAGAGCCTCGTGGAAGCTGATGAAATTGTAGTCGTAGTAGAAGTCGTCCACAAACACGGGCCCCGGCAGGTCCAGCTCTGGAGCCTCCTCCTCAATGGCGTTGCCCATGGTGCCTGGCTTGGGTGATGAGGCGGGTGAAGGGCGTGGGGCCAGGTGGCACGGGATGAAGTCAGCCTCGTTGAAGAGCTCGTGGCTGGAGGAGCCGCTGCCTGAGCCTTCAGGGCCCAGTGTGTCCAGGGGCCACCGACAGGGTGGCAGAGAGCAGGCGACTTCGCTGGCTGGCTGCTGGGCCTCGTCACAGGGGACACCGGTGTCACTGATGCAGAGGACATTTCGGTGCTGAGTCCCTTCCTCATATGTCACTGAGCACTGCAGGGGAAGCCAGGGTGAGGGGCTTAGCCTGGGAGGCAGGCTGCCAGGGGACACTGGGGCAAGGCTGGGTAACCTGTCCACTGCCTGATGTCAGAGTGGCAGAGACCCCAGCCAGCCCTCTCTGGCCCTTCCCAGCTCAAGGCCATGACTGTGGCCATGCTTGCCAGGGGCTTCCTGATCCCTGAGGCTTTAGAGTCAGGGGCTGGACCCTGGAATGCCCAGGTTCCCTCCCACCCACAAGGTCTCCAGGAAGGCTGTCTGCCTCCCTGTAGCTGAAGACCAAGGGTGGGGCTGGAGGCGGGCACCTTCCCATCCCACACTCACCTGAGACCAGTTCCCCACAGCCTAGGTGGCCGGACAGGGCACATGGTGGTTGCAAGGGGTTTCAGTAGGGGGCCGGGGAAGGTGTTCACAGGCGGGTGGCTTCAGGGCGCTCTGCTCATCCAGCCCCACGCTGCGGATGCAGAGCACAGCCTGGCAGGAGAGGCCCCCAGGCCCGCAGGAGCTGGAGCACAGCTGCCACTCACCTGCCCACCACCTGCTGAGGGCACACAGGTGTCATCAGTATGGCATCAGACAGGTGGCATTGGCAGGCTCACCAGCAGGGAGGGCCAGGCTGGGTTTCCAGGCCCTCGGGGTTTGGGCAGTGCCAGAAGCCAGTGGATGATTCTCCAGAGCTCCAAGCTCAGGTAAGTGTCCTGCCCTCAAAGTCTGGTGACAAGGCACAGCCCCTCCACTCCTGCCACCCTCCCCTCAGGGAAACTGAGCATGACCTGAGGCCTATTTCCACATCCAGGGACCCCAAGAGGAGGACCATAGGTGTCCAGGCTGGCCCAGGCTGGGGTGAGGGGTGACCGGGGGTTGGGGCTTCAGCCTTGGGAAGAGAATGAAAGCCCGGCTCCCTCTGCTCCTCCCCAGGGCCTCCGGGGACCCAGATGTAGGGGCCTGTGGCAGACCCAGGATGCCTGGGGGTGGGGAGTTGGTGGGGGATGGGGGCGGGCTCACCTGGCAGGGCAGGGCTGCTGGCTGCACTTCCGCTGGCAGTCATCGGGCCGGCCCAGGGGGTCACAGTGCTCCTCGTCCACGGGCCCTGCCTGCCGCTCCGAGCAGTACACACTCTGCCTCTGCACACCTAGGGGCCATGGTGCTCAGCCTGGGACTGGCACCCAGGTGCCCACCGCCCAAGACCCAAAGACACCCTCTCTGCCAGAACCCTCCCAGAACAGCGCCTTACTGCCCATGTCAGGATGCCTTACTGCCCATGTCAGGATGAAGGCAGACCTCCACCGTCGCCTCCTTGCTGTCCTCCCGGTTCTCACCCACCCCCTCTCCTATGTAGCTTCCCCTCTGACTGCCCCTGGAGGGGTGGCAGAGTGTGGAGGTTTAGTGGGTTGGGTGCCCAGACCCTCTGCATCCTAGCTGAGATGCCTGGGCAGCTCATTTGGCCTCTCTGAACCTCAGCGTCCTCCTCTGTGAAGTGGGAGCGACAATCCTGCCTCCTCCATGTCCTGGAGGGAGGACTGCATGTGTTCTTGCATGTGCAGGCTCGGCCCGTGCCCGGCACATCCTAAGAGCTCGATCCATGCCAGCTGCTGCTAGCATGCAAACCCAGCCGTGGCTCCTGCCACCTTCCCCTCAGGGAAACTGAACGTGACCTGAGGCCTATTTCCACATCCAGGGACCCAAAGAGGAGGACCATAAGTGTCCAGGGTGGCCCAGGCTGGAGTGAGGGGTGACCGGGGGCTGGGGCTTCAGCCTTGGGAAGAGAATGAAAGACCAGCTCCCTCTGCTCCTTCCTGGGGTTGGCTTGGGTGATGAGGCGGGTGAAGGGCATGGGGCCAGGTGGCGCAGGATGAAGTCAGCCTCATTGAAGAGCTCATGGCTGGAGGAGCCGCTGCCTGAGCCTTCAGGGCCCAGTGTGTCCAGGGGCCACTGACACACGGTCCCACCATCCACACCCTTCCCAACGGCTCAGAGAATGTCTGGACAAGAAATGGGGCATCAATGGACAGCCCCTGCTCTCCATCCCCACACCAGCCTTGGCACTGCTCCAGTCCTTTACATCCTCTGCCACTGTCCAACCTGGGGACTTTGCACAGCCACGTTCCTCACCTTGGACACTCACTTCCATACTGCCTGTTGAGGCCCAGCTGCAGGACCCCGTCTGCTGGTGGCTCTGCCTTCTCTGCTCCACCCCCTGCCCCGTGGTCCCGAGAGTAAGTTGTCCCTCCCCTGAGCTGCCAGTCCCAAATCCATCCCCCTCTTTCCTCACCAACAGAGTCTGATTTTGTTCAAGGCAGCAGTGGGACCTGCTGAAAACACACCCCACTGCCGCTCCCTTGCAACTAGGGGGGTCTGGGACACAGTCCTGGCTCAGGAGAAAAAGGCACAAGTCCCTCGCTGGGAGTCAGCCCTTTCCTCTCTCCTTCTTGCCTAGAATACTGCAAGAGCCCTGGAAGGGAGGACACCATCTGTGGCAAGCAGGAGTGGAGGGGAGGCTGCTATGGCAAGGATGGTGTGGCTGAGGGCCAGTCAGCTCCAGGTCCCGCCAGCTTGGACTGTGCACCTGGGACTTCCTGCCTGAGACAAAGAACCCCTGTCTCTTCCAGCCACCACAGGGCACTTGCCTCTGCAGACGCTCCTAAGTGGTCCACCTGCGAAGCAGCCAATTTGCTGAAAGGCAATTCCCCAAATGTCTAGTGCTGCAAATGTATTTGTTGGTTTTCACGTTTGTCCAATTAAAGACACCTGTATTAGGCCAGGCACAGTGGCTCACGCCTGTAATCCCAGCACTATGGGAGGCCAAGGCGGGCGAATCACCTGAGGTCAGCAGTTCAAGACCAGCCTGGCCAACATGGTGAAACCCCATCTCTACCACTAATAAAAAATTAGCCAGGCATGGTGGTGCGTGCCTGTAAATCCCAGCTACTCGGGAGGCTGAGGAAGGAGAATTGCTGGAACCTGGGAGGCGGAGGCTGCAGTGAGCCAAGATCGCGCCACTGCACTCCAGCCTGGGCGACAGAGTGAGACTCCATCTCAAATAAAATAAAATAAAACAAAATAAAATAAAATAAAGACAGCTGTATTAGATAAAATGGGTTTCCTAGCTTTGGAAGGTAACTGCCCAGTTCTCCATTTTCACTTTGTCATCATAATAGCATTTGAAGGAATGCTCAAACGTCTGTATATCAGATTCCCGATTCTGAGACCCTGAGGATACTGAGTGTCAACGATGGGAAGACTGAGGGGGAAAGGGGAGGACTAAGAGACAAAGGGGGAGACTGAGGTGTGGGGAGATCGAGGAACAGCAGGGCAGACCGAGCAGGGGGAGGAAGACCAAGGGGCGTCGGGGAGGACTGGGGGGCTGGGGGGAGACCAAGGAATGGCGGGGGAGACCGAGCCGGGGGAGGAAGACTGAGGGGCGTGGCGGGGGTACTGGAGGGCCGGAGGGAAACTGAGGGATATTGGGGGGAGACCGAGGGGTATGGGGGCAGACCGAGGGGTATGGGGGGAGACCGAGGGGTATGGGGGGAGACTGAGAGGCATGGGGGGAGACTGAGGAGTATGGGAGGAGACCGAGGGGCAGAGGGGAGACTGAGGAGCAGTGGGGAGGAGACAAAGAGACAGAGAGGGGAGACTGAGGAGCATGGGGGGAGACTGAGGGAAATATGGGGAGGAAGAGTCGGAGTTAATGAAATTGCCCTACTTTTCATAAATAGTTCAGGGAAATAAGTCATGTGGTGAGGGGCCTGGGCTGGTCTCCGGGACGCAGCAGAAATGCAGGCACAAAACCTGCCGGAGCTGAGCAAGGACAAAATCAAGGGGGAGCTGTGTCCACTGGAGGGAGAACGCCAAGAGCTGCAGCACACTGAGCACACGCCGCGAGCCAGCACCCACCTGCCTCATCCATTTACCCTCCCAGTGGGCCTGGGACATGGGGCGGTTGCTAGCCTCATCTCACAGATGGGGAACTGAGGCTCAGAGAAGCAAACTTCTAAACCCATGGTGGCCCAGCAGTGAGCTGGGAGCTGAAGCCGGTGTCCCTGTCCAGAGATGAAGCCCCTGCTGGCGGGGCTGTGCCTGCCCCACTTCTCACCTCTGCCACAGGTGACTGTACACTTGGTCCAGGGCCCACAGTGCCAGGAGAACTCGGGCGGCGGGACCTCGCCGTGGCCACCTGCCTCCCTGTGGATGGTGTACTCGTAGTGCACCCCAGGGTTGCTCTCCTGGAACAGCAGCTGGGTGGGCAGGCGGGGGCCCGTGAGCACGAGGTGTCTTCTCCATCCACCCAGTCTTAAAGGAGCTGACCCCAGCCACCTCTGTGAACTGCAGCTACACAGTTGGGCCATCTTAAAGATGGGGAAACCGAGGTAGAGGCCTCAGCAGGAGGGTCTGGCTCAGAGCCAGGCTCTGTGACTAACCCAGGGCTCACTCCTCCAGGACGAGACCTACCATGGGAGGTGCTGGGCCTGGGGACTCCGCCTCTGCTCCCCACGCCTGGGCCTCGGGAGGCAGGCACCTGGATCCAGACAGGCTCCTTGGTGGGACCCGGGGACGTGAGGTTCTCCCAGTTGCCCCTGCGTGCGTATGTGACGGTGGTCCCTGCCACCTGGTAGTCCCCGTTCTACTGGATGGTCCAGCCACCATTGAGGAAGTACTTCTCCGGGTCCTCGCTCTGCAGTGCCAGGAAGTTGGCAGCCTCAGCCACCTCCTGGATGCGGACCTCACGTGTGCTGGCTGGGATCAGCCCCACGTCCACATACCCTGTCAGGCAAGGGTTGTGCCTGGGGTGAGAAGCTTGCTTATCCCCACCTGCTCCCCTCACATCTCTCCCCACTTGCCTCCGCCTGCTGATGCCAAAGATTTTGCCATTAGCTTTAAAGTCTGAGCTCCCCAAATTGCTCGGATCTGTCATGGGTCACCAAAACCTTGCGGAGGTGCCACAAATCCTGACCCCGTGGCCATGCCCCGTCACTCCTCTCTTGGGGACCTAAACTGGTCTCATCATAAGGCTGGATCCATCCCCTACTCTAAGGGCCGGCTGGCATTCTCTTTCTAAAAAAAACCAAAGTGCCCAGGCCTTTCTCCTGGGACACCCTCCTCATCCCCACGCAGCCTGCTTTTATTCATTCACTTCCATCACACCCATCACGTGCCGGGCACTACTCTCAGCACTTCACATGTGTAAGCTCATGGGTGACGGCCCTATAGCATGGTACTATTGTTAACCCCATTTTACAGATGAGCAAAGTGAGGCAGACAGGGAGAGTAACGTGCATGAGCATCCTGCTGCAATATAAGCAGCCTCCAGGGCCAGTGCTTTATCCACCACACTGCACTGCATCTCTGGGATGAAATCTAAGCTTCTCAGCCTGGCACTCAAGGCCCCATAGCTGGCCCTGCCTTCCCTTCTTGCCTCCAGGGCTCTGGCGCAAGCTCTTTCCTCCATTTGGAATGCCCCTTCCATCTCTTCTGAGTTTTATGATTCAGCTCAACTTCCGCCTCCTGCAGGAAACCTTCCCTGACTTCCCCAGGCCAGGACCTTCTTCCTCAGTGCTCCCACAGCCCTCTGGGCCTCCCTCCACTGCACTGATCACACCAGAAGGTTCTGTCCCCCTTCAGGACTGAGCGCTTCACCTGCATGTCCTCATCACCTAGCACACAGTCAGTACTTCAGCAACATGTGCAAAACAGACCAGAGGTGAGGGCATGGAGCTGGGGGTCTCAGAAGATTCAGGAGGAGACGACCATTCTTTGAAAGGCCCAGGGGCCACACACAAGTCGGGATGGCCCTGCCTGGGGTCTCTGGGACAGGAAGACTCCCCATGGGGACAGGTCTCTGCGTGTGGGCCAGGGGTCCCCTGACTCCTGCAAGAATCCACCCCAGCAAGCCCTCCCTGCTTAGCCATCTCTAGGCTGGGTGGGGGCCACGAGGCCAAGGACAGGGGCCCGGGGGAGATGGGGAAGGGGCCACCAGGTGAAGAGCACACCCCTCCCCACAGTGGTCCCACCCCATACCCAGGCCCTCGGCCTCCTCGAAGGTCCCACTCACGGTGTGGCAGGTGGAGCCGTTGCCGTGGCACACGCCACAGCGGTCCTCCATAGTGCCAGAGTCAATCTCAAAGTCACAGCCCCACGTTCTGCAACACACGAGGAGGGGAGGCCCCTGGTGCTGGCGGCCAGCCCTCTGTGGCCCCAGCCCCGGGGGCCAGCCAGGGTCAGGAGAAGAAAGCTGGGAGTGGGGGTCGGGAGGCCTCTCTCTGGCCCTGCCCCACCCCAGCTGTGCCTCTGACCCAGGTGAACTTCTCTACCTCCCTGAGCCTCAGTTTCCTCAGATGTGAGACAGGGAGACCCACCCCTCCCTTAAAGGCATGTTATGAGCATCACAAGAGACAAGAGAAGGGAAGAGTTCTGCAAAGCCTGCGGGCAGGCAGGGGATCTGACACGCCACGGGCTCCTGAGCAGCGCGTGCAGGGAATTTCAACGTCAAAGGCACTGGGGGTTGGCACCTCCCTCCTGGTCCTCCTCGGAGCCCAGGCCTTGATACCCCAGTGGTTTAGAGGGCAAGAAGCAAGGACAAGTAGGTGGCTGGAGACATGGGCAAAGAGGAGAGGCCATCGTTGTTATTAAAAATAAGAATATAAATTGTTACCAAACACTGAGGGCTACTCTTCGGGGCTCAGAGCCCTTCATGTCACCTGTGCCACCTCATTTAACCCCTCTATCAGGGAGCAAACCACTGCCTGGGGTCAGCCAGCCAGCAAGAGGTCAAGCCACTGCCTGGGCTCCGGTTTCCTGGCTGGGGCGGTGCTGGTGCAGGCATCCAAGGAGACGCAGTGGGGCGAGGCCTGACTTGGGGGGGGTCCCCAGTGCCAGGAGGCGTGGTAGGGGCTTTGCCTTAGAGGTCATAGAGGGTAGGGGCTGGGAAGCCCAATGGTAGAGCATGGGGAGGGTGGCCCGAGGAGGACCAGGAGAGAACCTGGGGCCCGCCAGTGGGGCTGGGGGCAGGCAGTGCTGGGAGAGCCTCTTCCTAACCAGGCACACCTTACAGATGCCGTTGATGCAGAGGTCCCGGCTGGCTCGGACCTGGTAGCAGGGGGTGCCATCAACCACGGCGTCCCGCAGCTTCTCGGCAAAGTACTCATTCGCGGGCCGGCAGTGCAGCTCACAGGGGTTCACTGGGGGCCCAAGTAGAAGAGTCATCAGCAACAGCTGGAGCGGGAGTATGGAGGCCACCAGGAAGACCCCTCCGTGACACACATCCATGGCAGGCTGGAGGCTCCCAAGCAGCACAAACATGCTGGAGGCTCCGGCTGGGCTGGTAGCTATCTGCAAGGCTGCAGACTGGGGAGCTAGGGGCGAGCAGCAGCCCCAGGGGACAGTGGGAGTGGCCCAGGCTTGGGGTGGAGACTGGGTCTCCTGCTTGCATCACAGGGTAACCTTGGACCCACACCCCGCTCGCCGCCCTCTGAGTCTCAATGTTTCCATGGGAGGCAGCACTCACCGTCATTGACCATGGGCACCCATGTGTGCAGCTGGCCCTCGTAGAGCATAGCGTCAAAGTGGCTGCACTGGACGTGGCGGAAGGAGGGGCGGCCAGCGGGGCAGGCCTGCAGGTTGCAGAGGCGGAAGCGCTTCCGCTTACCCACACAGTATCTGCCTTTGTATCTGGGCCTGTGGGGAGAACCGGGGTGGACCCCAGTGAGGGCCCAGTGAGTGCTACTGCATGGCCACAGCCCAGAGCAAGCAGCTTCCTCCTGCACCCACACCCCAAGATCCCTGCTGCCCAGCTTTGTGCACGCTGCTTCCCTCCCTTGGGTTGCCCACCCTGTGGCCCAGACACACCCTCCCTGTCTGTAGGGACCTGTGGGGAGGTGGCAGCAGGAAGCCTGAGCTCTGCCCCCAACCTGCTGTGTGATCGTGGACAAGTCTTCGGCCACCCTCTGGGCCTCAGTTTCCTCATGTATAAAGTGGGGTTGGGGCTGCCCCTGCAGAGGGCTGTTGAGAAGCTGGGACAAGCTGCAGGCATGACTGGCACTGGCTGGAGGGACTAATCCGAGTCTCCAGCCCATGACACCAGCATCCTAACGAGCCCTTGAGTCCTCAGCCTTCCTCCTGGTGGCAGTACCCCCAGCCTGGGTCTAAAGGAAGCGCCCAGGGCCCCAGCCAGCTGAAAGGTCTGACGGAGCACAGCTCCTGAAATCCTCCACATTTAGGCCAGGGTCGCTGGCCCCCACCCAGCTCAGACCTGGAGGCCAGGAGGCAGGGAGGGGCACAGGCCAGTCTTGGGTAAGCGCAGGGCCCTGGGTGGGGCCGGCTGTGAACCCCATGCCTGCCCCGGGTGGCCACCTGAAGTGAAGATCAGCCGGGTAGTGCCTCGGTCTACAGTACCACTGGCCTCTGCTTCTCACCAGATCTTCACACCCCCTGCGCCCCCCCCATTTAGATGGGGAAACAGAGATCCAGAGAGGTGAAGTCACTCACCTCAGGCCACCCCTTCAGTGCTGTCCCATCCTCCCAGCTGCTCCATCTCATCTCAGGCCCTTGTTGTGCCTCTGAGGCCACCAAGCCCCTCCTGCTGAGTGCCCACTACAGATGAGCTGCAGGGCTGAGGGGCTGGCCTGCATAAACTGCATTTGCCCCTGACTACAACTTTACTGGATGGGCACTGCTATTATACAGGTGGGGAAACGGAGGCCCAGAGAAGGGGTGAAGAGGGGATTCGAACCCTGAGCCATCTAAGGTCCAGGGCCCATGCTCTTCCCCACTGCCCTCTCCTGCCTCCTTCCAGCCAGCAGCTGCTTTGCCACGTGGCCTCTGCTGAGTCTCTCCAGTCTCTGGGCCTCAGTGTCCCCCTCTCTGCAAAGGGGTCAGCAGTGGGGACCCTGTCAGCCCTCAGAACACTCCTTGAAAGTGACTCAAGGTGGCCTGGACACTCAGACTGACCATTATGAGGACACTTCTAAGAGCCAGGGGCTGGGACAGAGCCAAGCTCCTGCAATCGGCTGACTGCCTGGGTCCCTCTGTCCCATTGCCCAGGGCACCCTGGGCCCCACACTCACATAGGCAGCATGCACTGCTGCTTGGCTCTCTGTATGCCACGCCACAGCTGGTCTTGAACTCCTGACCTCAAGTGATCTGCCCTCTTCGGTCTCCCAAAGTGCTGGGATTACAGGTGTGAGCCACCACGTGTAGTCCAGTGAAGACCTTTTTAAGATTCGCAGTTCAGATTGTGGAAAATTTGAGCAATGAATTAGCAAGAGTTTACTCTTCACATGAATGTTGTCAGATTCATCTTTTAATAATTGATGTTTATATTTTCATTTAATGTCATCCACTTTTCTACAGGGTATGGACAGTGGATTTGCAGGTGTAGAAGATGAAATTTATAATGTTTATGATCAAGCCTAGAGAGGTGGTAAAGATATGGTCCAGAGTTTTTATAGGTCCAGTAAAAATCTGGACAAGGGCATGTATGGTGATGACCTAGAAACCAGAATAAAGACCAACAGGTATCAAGCTGTACAACTCCTTTTCAGTGTTTACACCAGTGAAAACAAAATAGTTCATAGTCTTTTCTCTTGTTTCCTAGATTTGTTCCTGACAAGGAGTTTTCTGGTTCAGACCATAGGCAGAGAGGCCGAGAGGCTGAGAAGGACCATTCAGTTTGAAGAAGATTCTTCTGATTTGGACAACTTTTTGGAAGAAGCCAGGCAGCATGGTGGCTCTCAAAGACCCTCAGCAGCCGCCCCAAAGAACATAAGCATGAAGGCAAGAAGAGGAGGAAGGAGTAGACACACGTCTCTTCAAAGCAAATGAACTGTGATTATCCATAACCCTAATGATGCAAGTCCCATGGGGCAACACTTTGTGAATGGTCAGGATACAAACCAAATCTCGATGCTACATTTTATTATTGGAGAAGGCGGGGGTGGGGGGTGGGGGGTGGGGGCGGGGATAGAACGTTTTACTTTGAATTGTTTAGTTTTTTTAAAGAGTGGGTTGTATTTGTGCTTCTCCCACCTTTCAGCATTTGTAGAACATGCTGGCCCACATACACAGTCAAGACCACTTCTTTTTGTGTGACACTAGCAGTTCGGGTTAATATTTTGTGTAAGAACAGCTGCTTATGAGTCAAGTCACCCCAATGGCAGTGAGGAGGAGGATGTTCACATATTGGAACTGTCCTGCCAAATAAATGTGGCCCCTGTTGCGCTGTGTTTTAATTTGGAGTGGGGAAAAGAAGCTCTTGCTTGGTGCAAATATTTGTTTCAAATAAAAACCTTTAGACAAAATTCTTGGTTATGTTTCCTTTATGTAATAGGCTGGGACAGTCTCAAAAATCTTCTTCTTCTTCAGATGTTTGGAAAACTTTAGGCCTTTGAGCTTGAACCTGGAGCTGAAAAAAATAAGCACTGTAGGGAAGGAAAGGCAATGTCTGCAAAAACATTCGATCTGAAAATCTCCTTTTTATGAGGGAGTCAGTAGAAAGAACTCAGGCAGTTTTTATTTGTACCTTGTTGTTTTATTTGTTTTCTCCTCAAATTCCCTTTACCATCTTTTTTGTTCTTATGACTCCCTCACCCTCCATTAAAAATTGTAAATTGGGCAAGTCACAGTGGCTCAGTCCTATAACCCCAGCACTGTGGGAGGCTGAGGCAAGAGGACAGCTTGAGGCTAGGAGTTCAAAACTAACCTGCAGCATAGAAAGGCCCAGGCTCAATGAAAACAAATAAAAAATAAAATAGTAAATCAATCTGGCCCAAGATCACATAATAAGTGGGAAAGGCAAGATTTCAGCCCCAGATTACCTGACTTGAGAAGTGTGCTGCTATGTCCACTGTGTTCTGTATATCTTGCTAACCATTACGGGTCTTCTTGTACTTCTCCTTCAAAACTGGGAACTCTTCCACCCCACCATTCTAACAAGCATGAAGGCAGCTTCAGTTACAAATCTCTCAAAGTCCCCATCATTCCACATTTATGATCTATTTAATTGACACATAATCAGATAGTAGCTACATGTATATCACAGATATATCTGATATATAAACAGATTGACTTGACTCCATCTAGAATACGACTTTCCTGTTGTAGTGCATTCTGAAGTTCTTCTGAAGAAAACTGAATTCAACCCAAACCTCTGTGAAAGCCAGTCTCCTTGCTCTAGAAATTCAAAATCTGGGAAAAGATTAATTGAAAGTTTCCATGAGCTCCAAATCAAACTGCCAAGTTTTTCATCTGCCACAGTCGGGTTGATCGATCGATTGATTTTTTGAGACAGCGTCTCGCTCTGTGGCCCAGGCTGGACTGCAGTGGTGTGAACATGACTCACTGCAGCTTCAACTTCCTGGGTTCATGCGATCCTCCCACCTCAGCCTCTTCAGCAGCTGGGATCATAGGTGCGCACCACCATGCCTGGCTAATGTTTTGTATTTTTTACAGAGACGGGGTCTTGCCATGTTGCCCGGGCTGGTTTCAAACTGCTGGGCTCGAGCAATCCTCCCACCTGGGCCTCCCAAAGTGCTGGAATTACAGGTATGAGCCACCGTGCCCAGCCTCAAATCGGATTCCAGACATTTAGAAATGTCAGTAACCTTGCTTCATACCCTTCCTCGTTACCCAAGGCTAAATCCCTGTGTTCATGAACTTACTCTGTTTTCCTCACTGCCGTAGAAAAGATGTGGGTAATGAGCTTTCTGTGTCATTCTAGATGCAAACCATATTAACAGTAATAGCCAAGGGAGATTTTGATCAGTACTCTTGTTTCTAACCTCATTTCCAGAAACAAGAAAATTAGGCCTCAAAACCTAGGTGTACCTATGATCATTTCTGAGCCCAGTCACCCTCATCACCAGCACTACCATCATCACGTGTTCCTAACGATAAACAAGAAACGACAACATTTAGCCTTTACTTAACCTCGTTACAGACTTCTGGTTAATTTAAACAATTTTGTTACTTTCCGTTTGTGCAAATGGAAGACTGCTTTTCAACCTGTACATCACACATGGAAAACAGATTCCAGAGTGCTTGGATGTACCCTGCCCCTCCAGCCCTCCAACAGAAAACAGATATTAAGATGTCTAGTCCCTGTACATGACAACCTGGTCCTCATTAGTCTTATTAAAGCTACATTGTGCTTTGCCAAAAATCCCAAAATGTTAGAAATTGCTCCTGTACTTCAAGATAACTTTATAAGGATTTTCCTGTATTCTATATAGAATACAGGAAAAGTTTCTTGTGATGTCCCAATGATCCATGCATTGTAGATATGACAATTTCTAAAGCATTCTTTTACTGTCATGTGACCCCTTCCACAGTGAAATTAAGAAATATGTTTATATTAAAACTTGGAGGCTGGGTATGGTGGCTCAAACCTATAATCACAGCACTTTGGGAGGCCAAGGTGGGCAGATCACTTGAGTCCAGGAATTGGAGGCCAGCCTGGGCAACATAGCGAAACGCCATCTCTACAAAGAATACAAAATGTTAGGTGGCACATGCCTATAGTCCCAGCTACTGAGGAGGCTGAGGTGGGAGGATCCACTGAATTCAGGAGGTCAAGGCTGCAGTGAGCATGATTGCACCACTGCACTCCAGCCTGAGCAACAGAGTGAGATCCTGTCTCAACAACAACAACTTAAAATTAGATAGTATGTATCTAAGAAAGGAGCCAGGATTTCCAACTTGAGTACAATGAATTTAACAAAAAATTAATTTTTTCCTTGTCATATTTTATTTTGTATTAACACAATCAAAGCCTTGTTTTGTTTAAATATAAGATCTAGTCTTTCCAGGTCGTATTTTCTTTATGGACCAGGAAAAAGCTGTTACTTTATTTACAAGGAAATTTTTCTTTTAATGCTCTTGAAAAAATTGAAGTTTTCAAACTTACAGAAAACTTTTCGTGGCCATAATACATGTGCTTCATTCTTTTTTTTTTTTTTTTTTTTTTTTTTTTTTTTTTAGATGGAATTTTGCTCTCTTGTTGCCCAGGCTGGAGTACAATGGTGCAATCTTGGCTCTCCACATCCTCCCCATCCCGGGTTAAAGTGATTCTCCTGCCTCAGCCTTCTGAGTAGCTGGGGTTACAGGCATAGGCCACCATGCTCTACCAAAAATTTTGTATTTTTGGTAGAGACAGGGTTTCTCCATGTTGGTCAGGCTGGTCTCGAACTCCCGACCTCAGGTGATCCTCCTACCTCGGCCTCCCAAAGTGTTAGGATTACAGGCGTGAGCCACTGCACCCAGCCATGCCTCATTCTTTTAATCAACTATGTAAAATTCCGTTGCATCAGTGACTTGATATCTAATCGATAGCACTGATGAAAATTTAGGTTTCTTCTACTTACTTGACATTAAACAATTCTGCTTTGAATATTCTTAACCACATATTTCTGTAGGATAAATCCTTATAAATGGAATTGCTAGATCAAAGCAAATGCAAATTCTTAATTTTGATATGCTGCCAAACTACACATCGGAACTGAAAGTACCAGTTAAACTTAACAACTTGAGTGCCAGTTTCCCCATACCTGCACCGGCACTATATATGACTAATCTGTTAGTCTTTGGAAGTCAAGTAACATTAAACCAAGAGTTAAGAATTTAAGTCCCTTTATGTTGTTTGTTTGTTTGTTTCATTATTATTATTATTATTTATTTTAGACCAAGTCTCGCTGTGTCACCCAGGAGTTTAGTGGCACGATCTCAGCTCAATGCAACCTCTACCTCCTGGGTTCGAGCAATTCTCCTGCCTCAACCTCTGAGTAGCTGGGACTATAGGCATACACCACCACGCCCAGCTAATTTTTGTACTTTTATAGTAGAGACGGGGTTTCACAATGTTGCCCAGGCTGGTCTCAAACTCTTCGCCTCAAGTGATCTGCCTGCTTCGGCCTCCCAGAGTGCTGGGATTACAGGTGTGAGTCACCGTGTCCAGCCTATGTTACCACAGCCCTTACAGTGCTGCAAGGGAAAAAAACGGTTTCAGTGAGGTGGGTGTAAACTCTGTGTACACACATCACACCCTAGAAAGCCCACAGAAAAATACAGCCCAGGATAAATGTATAGACTAATTTCTAAACCCTCACAAGAAAGCGAAGGAAATGTAATTAATATAAAAATAATGTTTTATTAGTTATAAATCTAAAAAAATGGTACTCAATGAAGATAAAACTGAAAATATTCTCTGCTGATTATTAGACATCTATTAGAGATTACTGGACATCTATTAGAGATTATTAGAATACTATAGTATGCAGAATTCTAAGATGGGCCCCGTGATCTTCATGCATCACCCGTTATACCCTATACAATCCCCTTACCTTGAGAGTAGGCAAGACCTGACTTCTTTTCGTTGTTGCTGTTGTTGTTGTTGTCGTTGAGATGAAGTGTCACTTTGTCACACAGGCTGGAGTGCAGTGGCACGATCTTAGCTCGCTGTAGCCTCCACCTCCTAGGTTCAAGTGATTCTCTTGCCTCAGCCTTCCTAGTAGCTGGGATTACAGGTGGTGGGATTAGCCACCACGCCTGGGTAATTTTTTTGTGTTTTTAGTTGAGATGGGGGCTCACCATGTTGGCCGGGCTAGTCTCGAACTCCTGACCTCAAGTGATCCGCCCACCTCGGCCTCCCAAAGTGCTGGGATGGGAGACCTGACCTGTTTCTAACCAAAAGAATATAGCACAAGCGATGGGATGTCACTCCTGTGTTATGTTCTATATAAGATACTATCTTAGCAGACTGGAGAAGCCCTTGCTGGCTTTAAAGAAGCAAACTGCCATGTTGTAAGACAGTCTACAGATAAGCCAGGCAACAAGGAGCTTCAGGCAGTCCCTAGGTGAGAGCAGCTCCCAATTCAGAGCCAAAGGTCATCAAGGAAATAGACCTCAGTCCTACAGTTAAAGATGAATTCTGCCAGCCACGTTGAGGGAGCTTGGAAGTCAGTCTTTTTCCCCAGTTGGCCCTTTGATGAGACACACTGCAGCCCCAGCTGACACCTGGATTATAGCAATGTGAAACCCTAAGAAGAGGACCCAGCTAAACTGTGTGCAGCTGTGAGATATGTGTTATTTTTCAGCCTTTATGCTGTGGTATTTTGTTATACAACAATAAAAAAGCTAACGCAAATATCTATGGTAAAACTTTTTTATATTTTAATCAGTATCACTCAAAATGTTATCAATAAAGACTTTAGACCAGACACAGTAGCTCATGCCTGTAATCCCAGCACTTTGGGAGGCCAAAGCAGGAAGATTGCTTGAAGCCAGGAGTTCAAGACCAGCCTGGGCAACATGGCAAGACTCCTGTCTCTATAAAAACAGGCTGGGCGCAGTGGCTCACACCTGTAATGCTAGAAGTTTGGGAGGCCAAGGTGGGCGGATCACTTGAGTCCAGGAGTTTGAGACCAGCCTGGACAACACGGCAAGAACTTGTGTCTATAAAAATAGGTCAGGCATGGGCCAGGAGCGGTGGCTCACGCCTGTAATCTCCCAGCACTTTGGGAGGCTGAGGTGGGCGGATCACGAGGTCAGCAGATCGAGACCATCTTGGCTAACATGGCAAAACCCTGTCTCTACTAAAAATACAAAAAATTAGCCGGGCGTGATGGTGGGTGCCTGTAGTCCCAGCTACCTGGGAGGCTAGCAAGAGAATGGTGTGAGCCCAGGAGGCAGAGCTTGCAGTGAGCCAAGATCGTGCCACTGCACTCCAGCCTGGGTGACAGAGCGAGACTCCATCTCAAAAAAAAAAAAAAAAAAAAGTCCAGTCATGGTGGCCCACAGCAGTAATCCCAGCATTTTGGGAGGCCAAGAACAGCATGGGCAACATAGTGAAACCCTGTCTCTACAAAAAATACAAAAATTAGCCAGGTACGGCAGCGCGGCTGTAGTTCCAGCTACTTGGGAGGCTGAGGTGGGAGGATCACTTGAGGCTGGGAGGCAGAGGCTGCAGTGAGCCAACAAGATTGGGCCACAGCACTCCAGCCTCAGGGACAGAGCTAGACTTTGACTCCAAGTAAATAAATAAATAAATAATTAAAAACAAATTTTAATACTTTTTTTCTTTTAAAAAAATTTTTTGGGAACATAGTAGGTACATATTTTTATGGGGTACATGAGATATTTTGATACAGGCATGCAATGTGAAATAAGCAAATCATGGAGAATGGGGTATCCATCCCCTTAGGCATTTATCCTTTGAGTTACAAACAACCCAATCTCACTCTTTGAGTTATTTTAAAATGTACAATGTACTCCATGGAGCACTCAGTAGGTGTGAGTCACCCTATTTACCACATTATATGCACTTTTATTTTAATTTTCAGAAAAGCTTGATGAGTTAACTATTATTAACATGCCTAACTTTTATATGAGAAAAGTGAAGCTTAAAAAGTAGGTGGTTTGTCTAAGGTCACTCAACTCAAAATTAGTAGTGTCAGAACCAACTCTGAGATTTCATAGACAATTTTATACTGGGAGAAATGGTGTAGTGACTTCAGAAAGGATAGAATTCAATTGATATTATAAAGAGGCATAAAACATGTACATAGAGACATTTTACTATTTCATTTGAACATTGCATGTCAGAGGTAAATATCTGATCTTTGCTGTTGGTTACCCAGCAAATGACATCGATGGGACATGAGATTCTGGATACCACCCCACTTATTTAATCCTAAGGAAGCGAATAGGAAACAAAATACAGCAATGTCTTCTCAAAAACCCATTGTCATGAGAGGCCAACACAGACTCAAGAGCTAGGTAGCAGTGTCATGGTGACTTCTGTTAGACCGCAAATTTTTGTAGGTCAAGAGAGGTTGGATATTGGCAATTTCATAGTTTCCCACTTAATACAACTAGATCTTCTTATTGAAAGGTAACTGATATGGTTTGGATCTGTGTCCCCATCAAATCTCATGTTCAGTTATAATCCCCAATGTTGGAGGTGGGGGCTGGCAGGAGGTAATTGGATCATGGGGGCAGTTTCCCATGGTTTACCACCATCCCCTTTTGGTACCGCATAGTGAGTGAGTTCTCACGAGATCTGTTTATTTAAAAGTGTGTAGCATGCCCCCCACCTTCCTCTGGCTCTGGCCATGTAAAGGTATTTCTTTATAGCAGTGCAAGACAGACTAATACAGCAGCCTCAGCAAAGTGTGCAGAATGAAGGGGAAATGGAAAAAGAAACCAAGCTAGAACTTTTGTGGTGACACAGGCAAGGAAGAATGACTGTTTTCATAAAAGCAGCATTTACAAGTAGTGGTTGAGTAGGTTCCCGAATCATTTCCAAACTAAAACGTCAGATTACCAAGTGGACACGAGAGGCGAGAACGTGAGAATCACCAGGAAGAAGCTGGGGTTTGCAGTAAAAGACACTGAGAGCATTCCATGAGGTTTGACTTCTTCCAATGTCAAGAATTTTGAAAAAAGAAGGGTTTCTTTACATTTCTATAGACTTTATTCTATATGCCAGAATTGGGTCCACGCTAATTCAAAAAAATGCATTTCTGTTTTAAAAACAAATGCTCGGCCGGGTGCAGTGGCTCACGCCTGCAATCCTAGCACTTTGGGGGGCCGAGGCGGGCGGATTATGAGGTTAGGAGATGGAGACCATCCTGGCCAACATGGTGAAACCCCATCTCTACTAAAAATATAAAAATTAGCTGGGTGTGGTGGCCCGTGCCTGTAACCCCAGCTACTCAGGAGGCTGAGGCAGGAGAATCGCTTGAACCAGGGAGTCAGAGGTTGCAGTGAGCCGAGATTGCACCACTGCACTCCAGCTTGGCGACAGAGAGAGACTCCGTCTCAAAAAAACAAAAAAAGAAAACCAATGCTCAAAAACCAAGTGACAAAACCTAGACTGCCCATGTTGCAAAATGGAACTTAGCACGTCTGGTGAGGAAGGTGGTGAGATGAGAACTGCCCGCCATGCACACTAACTGTCCCCCATCCCATCAGTGTGGGGTGCAGTTCCACTGCTCTGCAGACACTGAGCTAGCACTTACCAGGAGGCAGGCTCAGGGCTGGGTGTGCAGCTGAAGAACACACTGCCGCCCCCTCCCCCGGCCCTCCTAGGAGAGGAGGCGGTCAGTTCAATGGGAATCTACAGTAAGAACCACAGAGGTTGTAACAGGGAAGTAAAGGCCAAGGCTGCAGGAGAAGAGTAAAGGGCTCTTATCTTATCTAGTGTGTTTTGATGTCCCCATACACACACACACACACACACGTGCACACAGAGGCACATACACACATGGACACCCACATACATATGCACACACACACCCATACCCAGCAACGCATATGCAAATGCAGATATGCACACATGTACACACTCACATCCACACCCACTCACATCCACACACATGCACACATGCACACAATTCATATCTGCACACACACAAATGCATGTGCACGTGTGTATGCACACACAATCACTGCCACATACACGTACCAACCCTGTGCATACCTAGGCACACAGGACCACCCCCAAGCTCACTCCTTCTCACTGGGAACCTTCTTACTACTATTGAGACTCTGAGAGTTAATACTGAGTGTCAACTTGATTGGATTGAAGGATGGAAAGTATTGATCGTGGATCGTGGGTGTGTTTGTGAGGGTGTTGCCAAAGGAGATTAACATCTGAGTCAGTGGGCTGGGAAGGCAGATCCACCCTTAATCTGGACGGCCACAATCTAATCAGCTGCCAGTGAATATAAAGCAGGCAGAAAAACATGAAAAGGTTAGATGGGCCTAGCCTCTCAGCCTACATCTTTCTCCCATGCTGGATGCCTCCTGCCCTCAAACATCGGACTCCAAGTTTTTCAGTTTTGGAACTCGGACTGGCTCCCCTTGCTCCTCAGCCTAGACAGCCTATTCCGCGACCTTGTGATCATGTGAGTTAATACTTAAGAAACTCCCCTATATATATGTGTGTATACATATATACATACGTATATATACGTATGTATATACGTATATATATGTGTGTGTGTGTATATATATTCCATTAATTCTGTCCCTCTAGAGAACCCTGACTAATACAAACTCAAAGAATGTTTTTTCCTGTCAGCCTTCCTTGGCCCCCCTGACATAAACAATTGTAGCTAAACTTCTCCATCCTTGCTGCATGCCTGGGATGTTTACAACTTTGCTCCCTGTTTCCTCTTTTATCCTGATGATTTTATTAACAGTTATGAATAGCATTTCACATGAATGGCAGCTTCCGGCGAAGGGTCTGCAACTCTGAGGCTATGAGTCCTGTAAATGAGTGAATTTCTTACTTTATCACTGACATAATTTTATACTGTGCTTTTCAAATGCATTTAGGTCAAGGAAAGCTTTTATTGGTACCTAAAGCTGAGATTCAGCAAACTCTGATATTCCATTGTCTGTTGATAGTGAACAAAAAGCAAGAAAAGAAGAATGTAAATGTCTGCTCTGGGTTTCTTCTCTGACAGGCACTGTTGCTGAGGAACGCTCTAGTGATCCATCACTTAACAGGACTCCACTAGTCTCAGGCCAAGGTTAACACGTTGCTTCTCTTCCCTTTTTAAACATCTCCTGCATCTGCTATTTGCTTTCCATTACCTGGCCTCCCAGGTTTTGCCCAAGGACACTGAAGTTTCTCTTGGTGGTGGAACGACAAGACACGGGCCAATGGGTATTCTGGCAACATCCCCTATAGTGGCAAAAGATGATGTGGCTGCTGCCCAGAGCCCTGGCACGGAGCCTGTGGCCACCTCTGACAAACACCCACAAACATGCAGCAGAGCTAAATAGCCGCTTCGTGAGCGTCCCTGGCAGGGATGAGCAATACTCTTTCTCTGCCTCCTCAGAAAACAGTTTTTTTTTGTTTTGTGTTTTGATTTTAGACGGAGTTTCGCTCTTGTTGCCCAGGTTGGAGTGCAATGGTGTGATCTCAGCTCACCGCAACCTCTGCCTCCTGGGTTCAAGCGATTCTCCTGCCTCAGCCTCTTGTGTAGCTGGGATTACAGGCATGTGCCACCATGCCCGGCTAATTTGTATTTTTAGTAGAGACAGGGTTTCTCTATGTTGGTCAGGCTGATCTCGAACTCCCGACCTCAGGTGATCCGCCCACCTCTGCCTCCCAAAGTGTTGGGATTACAGGCATGAGCAGAAAACAGTTTGCTGGAACATCAAGCCAAAGGAAAGGTGTAATTTATTGTGGGGATTGCGTATTAGATAATTAGTTTTCAGGAGTTCCTTCGGTAATTACAATCTGTAACATTTGTAATTGATTTGGTCAGATTAAAAATGGATGTGTTGGTACATCTGTGAAACTAGCAAGAGGGTAAGGAGGAGTGGGAGGGGGAGATGTCTCACCGAAGGAGACCAAGAGCAACATGGACTCAGGCCAAGCCCCAGATGACACCCTTTCTGAAGCCAAAATTACAGCAGGCCTCTAAGATGCACACCCAGCAGATAAGTTCTTTCCCAAAAAAGACCATGTCGGGAGGCCCAACATCTCCTGAGCGGCTCTTTATAACCATCAGAAGAGCTGCTGCCACAGGGGCTTGTGAAGTCAGACACTTACCTTAGCCCTGCGTCGACCCGGGTCTGTCAACTAGATTGGCATAAATGAAAATCAGTCACTTTGCAAAACAGGAGGAAGGAATCCTTCTCTTGGAAGAGATGAGGGCCAAAGAGAGGATGAATGGGGCAAGAGTGTAGAAAGGAAGCTGCCACCTGCCAGACATCCTCTTGGGTGGATCACCTCTGACCCGAGCCCTATGAAAAGACTTCTGCCTTCTGGGACCTTCACCAAAAGGCTTTCGCCCCCTCTCGGTCTGACTCATGCTCCTGCCAGGGCTCCTCTGTTCTCCTGTCACAGCCAGGTGTGCTGTGAACTGGAACAGCAGCTCTCTCTTCAGGCGGGGACCAGCTGCTGAAGGTTCTTGGACTCAGAGAATCCCATCCCAGTGGCTGTTCCTCCAACACTGAGAGCTCCGAACAGAGAGGAGGAGCTGCTCCTGAAACACAGCTGCTGTGGAGGTTATGGGAGGAAGACCAGGTATTCAGGAAAAGGAGTAAAATATCCCAGTTGAGCAGGCTGATTAGCTAACATTGAACGAGCACCTACTGCCTATAAAGCATTGCGGGAAAACTACAAACTCTCAGAAACAGAGCCTTAAGGAAGTCCAGTAGAGGACAGATCTGGGTGCAGATGATTACATTACAATGTGGTGGGCAAGTGCTTTACGAGAAAAACGGTAAGGGATTGAAGATATAGAAGAGAGAAACAAAAAAGGAGCAGAGAAAGAAAAGCGAAGGAGAAAGGAGGAAAATAGAAGTACCGAGGAGCACCTGCATTGGGCCGTGAACAAGAAGCCTGATGGATAGGAGGGATGGCCTTGTGGAGAAAAGAGTATTTTTCTCCAGAACAGGTGTCAGCCAACTACATTCTGCAACACAAATCTGGCCCACTGCCTGTTTTTGTAAATAAAGGTTTTGTTTCGGGGGGGTGGGAAATGCAGCCGTGCCCATTTTTTGCATATTGTCTGTGGCTGCTTCTGTGCTACAAGGGCAGAACTGAGTGACAGCAAGACAGAGCCTATGGCCTGCAAAGCTAAAAATATTTACTACTCTTGGCCAGGCATGGTGGCTCACGCCTGTAATCTCAGCACTTTGGAAGGCTGAGGGAGGCAGATTACTTGAGGCCAGGAATTAGAGACCAGCCTGGCCAACATGGTGAAACCCTGTTTCTACTAAAAATACAAAAAATTAGTAGAGCGTGGTGTTGCACGCCTGTCATCCCAGCTACTAGGGAGGCTGAGGCAGGAGAATCATTTGAACCTGGGAGGCAAAGGCTGCAGTGAGCTAAGATCACACCACTGCACTCCAGCCTGGGCAACAGAGCAAGACTCTCTCTAAATATATAAATATATATAAATAAAAATAAAAATATTTACTACTCTTTGCAGAAGAACTTTGCCAAGCCCAGCTCAGGAACAAAGCCCTACTCAGGCTGGTCAGCCACAGTCTAATCTCCCTCTGACCCGGAACCCATGGAAGCAACCATTCCCAAGAGGAACTTGTTCCCACAGGAGAGGGAGTTCCTGAGGAGTCAGTTTTCTTTTATCAGACGCATCTGGTCTGAACATCTTGAGGAGTCTGCAGCAGCATCACCTCCAGTCCCCTGGCTCCCAATTCTGAGTGCACTCCATTGGTGCGTCTTTCCCTCCACCCAGCCTCTGGTTTCTAAGGCCCTCTCTATTCATGGGTCTGGAGTCCTGCCCTGAAGCACGGACCAAGTTACTGGGTTGTGATCTTCCCACTCAACCCCCACCTTCTCTTGTGGTTGAGACTCTCGTTGTTCTCTTCTGCTTGGAGGGGCCTCCTGGGCTAGGGCCTCAGAGTCCCTGGTATCCAAGATGGCAGCTGCCTAGAAACTGAATTTATATGCTCCACCCTTCAATATTTTGAGCATGAATATTGGCCTGGATCAAACTGGAGGTGGCTACACTGTCTTATTCTTAGTGACAAAAGGACCCCAGCATTTATGATAAATGAAATTCTGCTACCTGCCTGACAAAGCTGTTTGGATGTTTGTGAGTCAAGGGATCACTTTGTTTCCTTCTTTACCAAGTACCTGCTAGTCCATATGGATTACCTGATGCTTGAGGATTCAGCAATGGGGAGGAAGTCGGGTCTCACACTGAGGTGAGGTGATATCTCAGCCTTAGTCCCCTAGTCTAGCTTTCATTGATCTCTACCCCATTCTTAATGGTAACCCCCTTAGGGGCCCCTTTGTAATCTGTATCTTTAATCCAGCCTTTGAACATGGAGGCCAGAAAGTTGGAGGAAAGCCAGGGCTTCAATATCCTACACGAGCATTAATTTCTTTCTTATGGAAAACAATCTATATGTCAGTGCTGTGCTAACATTGCATCTTTAATATTATGGCTATAGCTTTAGGCCAGTAAGCATTAATAAAACAGACCTACTTGAACAGATGCAAGTCAGACACTAAAGAGATAGTTATGAGGCTCACACTGATCCCAACCGCTCACTCTTCTGTTCCTCTTCTATGGAATCTTCTGTTAAAAAGTTTTTTTAAAAACTCCAATTATACTGCAGCAAGGAATATGCTGTGTGTCTAAGGGAAACTGGCACATTTGTCAACCACGTTCTGGATAGTGAGATGTGATTTGGCTCTGGGCTTGTCCCGGGTAGCAGACACATTTGTAAGACCTAGATCTTATTTATGGCGACTTATTTATGGTTATTGACAGCGGCATGCTGGAATAATTTATTTCTCCCTCATAAGAACTTGGTCAATTTTTTCCTGCTCTTAAGATACCATCTTGCCAAAAAAAAAAAAAGAAACCCCTGGGAGTCATTCATACATGTAGTTGTTTGCACTATTTGGTTGTCCAGGGTTGCTGATTGGGAAATAAATCCTCATCAGTGATACAGATGGGGCTGGGCACAGTGGCTCACACCTGTAATCCCAGCACTTTGGGAGGCCGAGGCGGGTGGATCATGAAGTCAGGAGATTGAGACCATCCTGGCCAACATGGTGAAACCCCGTCTCTACAAAAAACACAAAAATTAGCTGGGTGTGGTGGCACATGCCTGTAGTTCCAGCTACTTGGGAGGCTGAGGCAGAAGAATCGCTTGAACCCAGGAGGCGGAGGTTGCAGTGAGCCGAGATTGCGCCACTGCACTCCTGCCTGGGCAACAGAACAAGACTCCATCTAAGGAAAAAAAAATTGTTGACAGATAGATATGCTTCTGCCTGCCCTCTGACCAACTTGCTGAGGAGATACCAGGTCTGGAGATAGACTGCTTGTGCAAATACAAACAGGAAGCTCCAGGATGCCTGATCTGAATCTCAACCTTCTCTCTAAGTAGACTCCAAATGACCTCTTTCTTGCCATTTTCACTGCTGAAGTTGGAAAGTGACTTTGAGGACATCAAATATTACATTTTTCCAGAATCATTGATTGGAGTCATGCGTATACCCGTGGTAGAAAGGATCGGCTGACCATCAAAGATAAGTGATCCTTTCCACCGTGCACAGTCGTTGTGCGAAGGGGCTGCCCAGCCCCAGTTCTAGGCAGGACTAGTTCTCACCAAGGAAATGATGCTGTGCTGTTGTCTCCTCTAGGTCAAAGTGACTAAGAAACATGTGTGTCTTCCACACAATCGCTCTCCCTGACCCATCCACTGAATGAAAAGAACTCTGGGGACCGAGCAGAGGGCAGAGCCACAGGATAGAAGGCTCCTGGGCTCTGAGTAGCCATACTGAACACTTCCCAACCAGTATGGACCAGGAAACTAACAGAGAAATATGTTTGTTCGTGTTAATCCACTGAGAAGTGGTGTTAATCTGCTACAGCAGCTAACATCACCCAATTAATACAGAAAACATATGCAGCTAAAATAGACTTGAATATATATTTGGAAAAATTTGAATTCTTCCCTTCCATAAAGGAGTATACATATTTGCAATTCCCACATTCATAGATGCAGGATCCAAGGACCAAGTGTCTTGAAAAGCCAGCAGCTTGGCCGGGCGCGGTAGCTCATGCTTATAATCCCAGCACTTTGGGAGGCCGAGGCGGGCAGATCATGAGGTCAGGAGATCAAGACCGTCCTGGCTATGGTGAAACCCCGTCTCTACTAATACAAAAAATTAGCCGGGCATGTGGCGGGCGCCTGTAGTCCCAGCTACATGGGAGGCTGAGGCAGGAGAACGGTGTGAACCCGGGAGGCAGAGCTTGCAGTGAGCCGAGATCGCACCACTGCGCTCCAGCCTGGGTAGCAAACAAGACTCTGTCTCAAAAATAAAAAATAGAAATAAAAAATAAATAAAAAAATAAAAAAGAAAAGCCAGCACCTTTGAATTTGCTCTTAAACCCTCTTGGACATAGGCTTCTTAGCCACGAAGGCAGTAAAGTCACTCGCCCAGTGCTCAGTACTAGTTGGTATCCATTAAATGTCAATTTCCCTCATCTCCTCAGTTTTTAATCTCTCTAACTGAATAGAGGGATGCTGCTCAGACACTCTATATTGTGGAGGCATAATCAAATATAAAGAATATAGCCACTAACCGCTCGATCAAAAGTAAAAACAGAAGAAAGAAGCCTACATGAAAGGAAGGCATAGAAATCTTTCTTGGCCACAAGGAGACAGAAACACCATCTGCTCTTGCCTGATTCTGCTGTTGTCCTTAGTGTGTGGTTACTGTTAGACTTTGATAGGGATGTTTTGTTTTGTTTGAGATAGGGTCTTGCTTTGTCACTCAGACTGGAGTGCACTGGCACAATCTTGGCTCACTGCAGCTTGGACCTCCCAGGCTTCAAGTGATCCTCCTGCCTCAGCCTCCCAAGTAGCTGGGATTACAGGCATGCACTACCATGCCCAGCTGATTTTTTAAATTTTTGTAGAGATGGGGTCCTACTATGTTGCCCAGGCTGGTCTCAAACTCCTGGGCCTCCCAAAGTGCTGAGATTACAGGCATGAGCCACTGCACCTGGCCCTTGAAATTGTTTTGATCTCTTTAGAAATCATTTTAAGGAAGCAAAGGCCGGCTCACAATATAGTTTTATATTACCTTATGAATTTTATTTTGTGCTCATTTAAACAATAATTTTGTCCCAGCTATTCAGGAGGCTGGGGCAGGAGAATTGCTTGAACTCGGGAGGTGGAGGTTGCAGTGAGCTGAGATTGCACCACTGCACTCCAGCCTGGGTGACGGAGTGAAACTCAGTCTCAAAAATAAATTTAAAAATATTAAAATAATTTTGATTCTGGATTATATAATGCTAGAAGCAAATAATTTTGATTTTTCAGTTTTTCCAAAAGCAATCGTGATAAAGGCACCACATTATCCCCCTACTTTTTTCTTTCAGTTGAAGCCTCTATTTCCAACCAACTTGCTGGCAGAATAGGGTGGTTTTTAAAATCTTTATCATTTTTTACTATGTGTAAAACTAATTCACACTCTTTATAACTGTACATTAAATTCAGACAATAGAGAAGTACAAAAGAAAAAACAGGGAAATAGGATCATGTTATACACCTAGTTTGCCAATTTGTTTTCCCGATTAAACCATTTATCTTGGATATCTCTTCATGCCCCTCCTTCTCATGGCAAACGCCCTCAATACATTTAAAGTCCTGAGATTTGGCTTAAAAGGCGAAAGTGAACAAGTGATGTTAATTCCAACATTCCCTCAGCACTGACAGCTTTCTAATTCCAGCCCAGGTCTCATGAGTGTGGGCAGAAACATCCAGGTCCAAGGAACTCATCTGGGCAGAGAAGTGCCCAGAGAGGTGTGAGCTTTCCAAGCTTTATTCAGAGCTGGTTCCCTACAAGGGCGTCTTTGTGGCAGGAACCTGCAAGTGAATACTGCCAGGGAGAAGAATGCTCATTACTTGAGTCTGGTGGTAGCTGCATGGAGAGAAATCACTTGTCATGGAGGTTCTGGATGTGTCAACTCAAAGTTCATAGTAATTAAACAGGGGAGCAGGACTGAGCCTCAGACACAGGCAGGGCACACCAGGGTGAGGATCCCTCCTGCACACATGATAGTCATCACAAGCCGTACTTAAATAAAAGTTGTCTCTCCACGAGGCTGTGATGGGCTATAGCAGCTGCTGCCAGATCTCTATATTCCACGGAGGTGCCTATCTGGTTCTCTAAGATCTCTGGGCATTGGACCAGGAGGTTGGCACCCAGTGGCAAGATTGTTTGTTTCAACAGCGCCACTGTGTGTTAGGATAAGCAAAAACAGCCAAAAATCCTAGACACCCTTGTTTTCCGGTTTTCTCTGCTGGAAGAGACAGCATCCAAGAATCAAGGAATATCCCGGAGGGAGGAGAGATCTTGGAGTTATCACAGAAGAAAGGATATCAGGGGGGAAAGTACATTATCACTGTAAATTGTATGGGATAATAAAGTGAGCTAAGTTAAATATGAAGATAAATATGTGTCCCAAGGTGATGAATAATAATAGTAAGAATAAAAGCAGCTACCTTTTGTGATGTTCTATGACTCAAGCATATGATATGCTTGGCTCATTCACTCTTCACAGCAGAACCTATTCAGCATTTATTTATTTTCCTTATTTGAGGGAACTGAAGATCAGAAACATTAAGGAACTTGCCCAAGTTCCACTTGCCAAGCCATGGTAAAGCAGCTGCTCAAATGTAAAACTGTCTACTCCCAAATCCAGGTTCTTTTCATGATTCCAGCAAATATGGGAGAAATAAAGGAACCAATGTCCACAGAAGGGAAAAGTCCCTCATTACACTCTCTGAACCATGGAGGTGTGGATGGGTCAGGAAAGATCTGAGCTTCCTCAAACCCAAGGATAGCATTCCTACCAATTGATAATTTCAGTTCCAACATCACCATCTCCAGCCTAAACCTTACAAAATATCTACTCATTTTCATCTCCAAATTTTTTAATTTTATCTGGTAAAAAATTTATGGCAAAGTGTATCAACCGAGAATATCCTTCTTGTTAAATGCCACACTGACTTCCTGGGCACAATGCCCAACTTGGTTTAATTGATCTTTACTAATTAAGACAGAGCTTTGTAAAGGACAGTTGTTACATTTAATTGATGTGTGCTATCTGCTACTAGCACAAATGTTTGTGACAGCAGAAAGAGTTGTCAGAGAGGAAACATCCCAGGGTTATATTACCACTGCTAAAACTCAATTGATGAGACTTCAATGCAAAGAAGTCTCATCCTGCCATTCAGTCTTCCTACTGCTTACATTTCGGTCCCAGGAGATTTGATGGGACTGAGGGTGTATTAATCTGGGATCA
Source organism: Homo sapiens (assembly GCF_000001405.40). Taxonomy (NCBI): domain Eukaryota; kingdom Metazoa; phylum Chordata; class Mammalia; order Primates; family Hominidae; genus Homo; species Homo sapiens. Next base: position 85,290,990 of record NC_000015.10, read on the forward strand.
TTTGATTGCAAGAAAGAGAAACACATTAAACTAGCTCATGGGAAATTGTAGGTTTGCTGTAAAAGAGTATCTTGTCAGTTTTCCTCCATAGAAACCTGATGGACTTAGAAAGCCCCAAGTGTTTGAAAGTTCTATTACAAACAAAATGTTAGTGAAATCAAACATCTCTGTGTAAAAGCTAAGCTGTAGCTGATGGAAAGCAGTTGTTGGAAAGTGGTGAGTGGAGTGGAAGGAAGAAGAGTGAAAATAAACTTATGATACCAAATGGGGGCCGGGTACACTGGCTCACACCTGTCATCCCAGCACTTTGGGAGGCCAAGGTGGGCAGATCACTTAAGGTCAGGAGTTCAAGACTAGCCTGGCCAACACGGTGAAACCCCGTCTCTACTAAAAACACAAAAATTAGCTGGGTGTGGTGGCAGGCACCTGTAATCCCAGCCACTCAGGAGGTTGAGGCAGGAGAATCGCTTGAACCCAGAAGGCAGAGGTTGTAGTGAGCCGAGACCACACCATTGCACTCCAGCCTAGGCAACAAGAGTGAGACTCCATCTCAAAAAAAAAAAAAAAAAAAAATGGGGAGAGAAGTGATACCATTAATAATTAATGAAATGAGAAAGGTTAAACTGATAACAATTGAGGAACAAAAATGGTGATATAACTGGAGAAGGAGGAGGGGGACTGGGAAGGTAGATCAAGGTATGTATTAGTTAGCTTCTGCTGCATAACAAACTACCCCAAAACTCAGTGGCTTTATACAATAATCATTTATGATTGTTCACCCATCTACAGATGTGCTAGAATTCACTTGATCTAGCTGGGCTGGCCAGATTGCTTTGCTCCTTGTCTGCAAGTCTACAATTCACTGGGATGGTGTTGCCCTACATCTTCTATCCTTCTCCCAAGACCAGCAGGCTAGCCAGATGATGACAGAGGTACAACAGAACACAGCCTACTGCACAAGCATCTTTCTCTCTTCCTTCCTTCCTTCCTTCCTCTCTCTCTCTCTCTCTTTCTCTCTTTTTTGATGGAGTCTTGCTCTGTCACCCAGGCTGGAGTGCAGTGGCACTATCTCGGCTCACTGCAACTTCTGCCTCCCAGGTTCAAGCAATTCTCCCCGCTCAGCCTCCTGAGTAGCTGGGATTACAGGTCTACACTACCACACCCTGCTAATTTTTTGTATTTTTAGTAGACACGGGGTCTCATCATGTTGGCCAGGCTGGTCTCGAGCTCCTGGCCTCAAGTGATCTGCCCACCTCAGCCTCCCAAAGTGCTGGGATTACAGGCGTGAGCCACTGTGCCCAGAACCACAAGCATTTTTCTAACCCCTACTTACATCATGCCTGCAAACATCCCATTATCCAAAGCACATGATATGGCTGAACCCAAAGTAAAAAACAGGATATGTAAGTGGGCCGAACTGCAAAGCCACAAGGAAACGGGCCTGGAGATGGGCGTGGACGGGGTGAAGGCTTGAAATCAATGGGGGCAGGCAAGGTGGCTGGTGGTACAGGTGAACTAAATTCTCATCAACCAAAGCAGAAGCCAATAGATTGTCTCCTACAGGGTTGGTGGCATAGTGGTTCAAGTTTACTACTTAGAGAAGCTGATTACCACTCAGAGGACTGAAAATTGAAACAGACATGTTTCTTTCTGAAGTGTAGCACAAAGATAGGGAGGGGGAAGTTAACATTTACCAACCTTTTATTTGTTCTTTGAATTTTTTTTTTTTTTTTTTTGAGACGAAGTCCTGCTCTGTCACCCAGGCTGGAGTGTGCAGTGGCGCGATCTTGGCTCATTGCAACATCCACCTCCTGGGTTTAAGTGATTCTCCTGCCTCAGCCTCTGGAGTAGCTGGGATTACAGGCACACGCCACCATGCCCAGCTAATTTTTTTTATTTTAATTTTTAGTAGAGATGGGGTTTCACCGTGTTGGTCAAGCTGGTCTTGAACTCCTAACCTTGTGATCCTCCCTCCTCAGCCTCCCAGAGTGCTGGGATTACAGGCATGAGCCACTGCGCCTGGCCTGAATTTTTTTTTTTTTTTTTTTTTTTTTTGAGATAGAGTTTCACTCTTGTTGCCCAGGCTGGAGTGCAGTGATGCAATCTCAGCTCACTGCAACCTCTGCCTCCTGGGTTCAAGTGATTCCCCTGCCTCAGCCTCCCCAGTAGCTGGGATTACAAGCACCGGCTACTATGCCCAGCTATTTTTTGTATTTTTAGTAGAGACGGGGTTTCGCCATTTTGGTCGGGCTGGTCTTGAACTCCTGACCTCAAGTGATCCACCAGCCTCGGCCTCCCAAAATGCTGGGATTACAGGTGTGAGCCACTGCGTCCGGTCCTGAATTTTTTAACTGTATATAATTATTAAAGATGTTTTTCAAATTAATTAAAAATTTAAAAGTAGACACTGTCCACTGTGTACAATACAGCAGATCAAAGACTGAAAAGGCACAATCTTCTCCCTCAAGGAGTTCCCAGGATCCTGAGGAAGATGGGACTCTAAACAAAGAGCAGCAACACTGCGCTGGTAAATAAGAGAGCACAGTGCGACTGCAGTGAAAAGGAGAAGGGCACTCAGTCCCTAGATTGATCGGGGAAGATAACAGAGGCTGGGACATTCGAACTGAGTCTTACAGTACAGGAGCCTGAGAACAACTTCTTTCTCCTGCCCCAAATCTTTACAAATGGAGAACGACTTGTTTAAGCCTATAGCTACCCTAGAAAGGAAAAAGGAGTGCCCTTGGTGGGTGGGTATATTAGTCCATTTTTGCACTGCGATAAAGAAACACTTGAGACTGGGAAATTTATAAAGAAAAGAGGTTTAATTGGCTCATGGTTCTGCAGGCTGTATAGGAAGCACAGCGGCTTCTGCTTCTGGGGAGCCTTCAGGAAGCTTCCAATCATGGCGGAAGGTGAAGGGAGACAGAGGCACTTCAAATGGCCGGAGCAGGAGGGAGACAGCGGGGAGGTGCTACATACCTTTAAACAACCAGATCTCGTGAGAATTCTGTCACGAATACAGCACCAAAGGAATGGTGCTAAACCATTTATGAAGGATCCACTCCCGTGATCCAGTCACCTTCCACCAGGCCCCACCTCCAACACTGGGGATTACAATTTGATACAAGACTTTTGCAGGGGGATAAATCCAAACTACATCAGTGGGTAACTATGGTAAACAGCCCAAATGCAAGGGGTATTCAAGTGAAGAAGACACCCACAGCCTGAAATGTACTCAGAAAGCTGCTGCAGCACTTATGGGCATATACCCCAAAGAATGGAAAGCGGGAATTCAAAGAGATACTTGTACACCTATGTTCATGGCGGACTTACTCACAATAGCCCACAGGGTGGAAGCAAACTGAGTGTCCACCAACAGAAGAATGGATAAACCAAACGTGGTACATGCATACAATGGAATATTATGCAGCTTAAGAAAGAAATCCTGGCACAGGCTACCACATGGAAGAATCTTCGAAACATGATGCTAAGTGAAATAAGCCAGTCAGAAAAGGACAAATACTGTGTGATTTCACTTACATGAAGCACCTACAGTAGTTGAATTCATAAGACAGAAAGTAGAAGATGGTTTCCAGAGGCCTGGGGAGGGGAATGGGGAACAAGATCCCATTCATGTAAGGGAGATAAAACACTAAACAAGACTATGCTCCCATAGGAACACCCATATTTCCTAGAAGATCTGGAAGCATACTCCTGACTGAGGTTGTCTTTGGGGAAAAGCTTGAAACCTGTAGTAAAAGGAATGTTTAGCATTACCTGAGTGTCTGGATTTTTTAATACCAAGAATGTATTTGGGCATTCATACAAGAATAACTTCAGTTTAAATGAGAAAAGTTGGCTAGGTGCAGTGGCTCACACCTGTAATCGCTGTGCTTTGGGAGGGTGAGACAGGAGGATTCCTTGCAACATAGCAAGACTTTGTCTCCACAAAAATAAAAAATAATTAGCCAGATGTGGTGGCACATGCCTGTAGTCCCAGCTACTTGGGAGGTTGAGGCAGGAGGATTGCTTCAGCCCAGCTTTTCAAGGCTGCAGTGAGCTATGATCTCACTACTGCACTCCAGCCTGGGCGACAGAGTGAGACCCTGTCTCAAAAAAAAAAAAAAAAAAAAAAAAAAAACAGAGAGAGAGAGAGAGAAAAGGATGGCACAATAGTTTCTTAGTCTTAACCACACGCGTTAACAAAAATAGTAGGGTCTATTTTATTTGACAACACCCACCAAAAGTTCAAGTTCTATTAGTTTTCATATACTTAAAAAAAATGTTTCCCTCGGAAACATCACCTTGACATATCTTGGGGGAAACATAGAACGTGGAGAATTGTTTCTGTTGCTCTCCCCCACCCCACTCCATGCCAACATTCTGCATCTCTGTGCTGAACATCAGGGAGCCACCGGCCTTGTCAGCCTTCACATTAGGCCTGCCCTCTCCCTGCTGCAGATCAGCAGCCTGTCTCGGCCTGTTGGAACTCTCCCTTAGTGTGTTGGAGACGTTGAGACATTGTGACAAAAGTATGGAACCAGGAGTCAAGGAAGCTTCAGTCCTGGCTCGGGCTACTTATTTTTTGTTCAAAGTTAGCTTTTCATTTAAATGTCTGTGTTTCTGTTTCCTTGTTTAAAAAATGTTATAATATATGGCTATCGTAAAGTTGTTGCAAAAACTCAAAGGAGAATACAGACATTTAAGATAGTCTGCATGGGCCGGCATGACGGCTCACGCCTGAAATCTCAGCACTTTGGGAGGCTGAGGTGGGAGGATTTCTCGAACCCAGGAGGAGGCTAGGCTACACTGAGCCATGTTCATGCCACTGCACCCCAGCCTGGAGCCTGGGTGACAAGGCAAGACTTTATCTCAAAAAAAAAAAAAGACTTTTTTTTTTTTAAGTTCTGGGATACATGTGCAGAACCTGCATGTTTGTTACATAAGTATCCATGTGCGGCCGGGCGCGGTGGCTCACGCCTGTAATCCCAGCACTTTGGGAGGCCGAGGCGGGTGGATCACGAGGTCAGGAGATCGAGACCATCCTGGCTAACACGGTGAAACCTCGTCTCTACTAAAAATACAAAAAGAAATTAGCCGGGCGTGGTGGCGGGCACCTGTAGTCCCAGCTACTCGGAAGGCTGAGGCAGGAGAATGGCGTGAACCCGGGAGGCGGAGCTTGCAGTGAGCCGAGTTTGCGCCACTGCACTCCAGAGCCTGGGAGACAGAGCGAGACTCTGTATCAGAAAAAAAAAAAAAAAAAAAAAAAGTATCCTTGTGCTATGGTGGTTTGCTGCACCTATCAACCTGTCATCTTGGTTTTAATTCCCGTATACATTAGGTATTTGTCCTAATGCTCTCCCTCCTCTTGCCCCCTACCCCCCAACAGGCCCGTGTGTGATGTTTTCCTCCCTGTGTCCATGTGTTCTCATTGTTCAACTCCCGCTTATGAGTGAGAACACACAGTGTCTGGTTTTCTGTTCCTGTCTTAGTTTGCTGAGGATGATGGTTTCCAGCTTCATCCACGTCCCTGCAAAGGACATGAACTCATTCTTATAAAAAAGACATTTAGTCTTTGGGAAATAAATACTGAAGATTAGCTTCAAATGGACAGTGGTTTGGATGTGATTCTTGCATCTCTGACTAAATCGTAAACTTATCCAAGTCATTGTCCACTGTGGCTCCCACAAAGCTTTCAGGCCTGTCTTCCTTGGTGATCTTGCTTTGATGTGCTATGAAAGACTGTCCCAGCAGATGGCAGAAGAGAACTGAGTCAGGAAAAACCAGCCTGGGTATTTCAGTGTGCACTGTGCACTGGGTAAAGCTTCTGCACCTTAATGTCCCTGCCGCGGTAGCGCTACACGTCGACTTCACAATCGCTGCTGAACTTCCCTAATAAAGGTGGGTCAGCAAAGGCGTGAGGGTTACCACTCTATCCAAACACCATGTCACTGAGACTCACTTAGGAAGAACATTCATTTCCTGAGTACTTCCGTAGTACTGGAAACGGGGATGAATACAAAATAGTCCCTGTCCCCACAGAATTCATAGTCCAGCTGAGATCAAATAAGGACAGAACAATTTGCATTTTGCCGGGCTGTCCTCTAATGACAATAATTTCCTGAATGTTTTCAGGTTGCCTGTTTTAGCCATATGTTCTTCTCTGGCCGCTTCTCTCCAGCCCCAGCCTCAAGTCCAACTCATGATCTCTGGCCTAGGATACAGCAACAACCTCCTAAGGGAGCTGCCTCTGCTCTTATCCACCTCCAGTTTATTCTCACCGCATAGACAAGATAATGTTTTAAAAATGCAAATGCGATTACACTGTATACCACCTACTCAAAAGATCTAATGGCTTTGTATTGACCTCATAATAATACCCCTGCCCTTAATCTTACTTAAAAGGCTTTTTGTGATCCGATCCCTGTTTTTCTTCTCCTAACTTATCTCACCCTCTCCTCCTGCAATCAACTCAAGAGGCTGACTTTCAGTTTCCCAAATGATTTTTATCCCCTACCAGATTTGCCCAAATTGCTTTTCTCTCTACCTAGAATGCCTTAAAACTAAAACTCACTCCCTCCCATCTACCCATCCTCCTTAACTTGGCTAACTAGTATTTATTCTTCTGCTCTCAGGTTAGATATCCTTTCTTTTGGGAAACTATCCCTGACAGTATAAGGCTGGGCTGAATAATCCTCCTGAGTACTCCAGAGCACCCTCTGCTTCCATTCCCCTCGCATTTACCGTATTTCTTCGTAATGAGTTTGCGTATCTTCCCCTGTCTACTGTAAATTCCTGGCACATGAGGACTTCCTCTCGCACAACAATGTATCCCCATTTCTTGACACAGTTCTTGGTACAGAGCCGCACTCGATCAAAACTTATCAAGTAAATGAATAAATCAATCATAAAACACAATTGATACCATCCAAGAAGTCATAAAATTCTTGGGGCACAAGGTCTTAGGAGAGTAGATCTTTCTGTGTGTATCAGCCATATCCCTTTTTTTTTTTTTTTTTTTGAGATGGATTCTCTCTCTGTCACCCAGGCTGGACTGCAGTGGCACTATCTCGGCTCACTGCATCCTCCACCTCCCGGGTTCAAGCGATTCTCCTGCCTCAACCTCCTGAGTAGCTGGGACTACAGCCACCCCCCACCACACCCAGCTAATTTTTCAATTTTTAGTAGAGATGGGGTTTCGCCATGTTGGCCAGGTTGGTCTTGAACTCCTGACCTCATGATCTGCCCACCTTGGCCTTCCAATGTGCTGGGATTACAGGTGTGAGCCACCATGCCTGGCCAGCCATATCCCTTTTCATCAAGATGTTGTCAACCATACGCTCTCAAATCAAGTTGTGACCAGGTGCGGTGGCTCACGCCTGTAACCTCAGCACTTTGGAAGGCCAAGGCAGGAGGATTGCTTGGGCTCAGGAGTTCAAGACCAGCCTGGGCAGCATAGGGAGATCCCATCTCTACAAAAATCATTTAAAAATACTAGCTGGGCGTGATAGCATGCACCTGTGGTCCCAGCTACTCAGGCGGCTGAGGGGGGAGAATCATCTGACCCCAGGAGGTCAAGGCTACAGTGAGCCATGATTGCACCACTGCCCTCCAACCTGAATGACAGAGCAAGACCCTGTCTCAAAATAACCAAACAGAACAAAGACAAGTCGTTGTTGTTTTATGCAAACAGGCTTTGAACTTGGAGCAAGTCACCTAGTCAATCTTCTTATCCACAGCAAAGGAGTTCTGAAACAAACAAACAAACAAACAAAAGCAATTTTTACCTTTCACAGTGTTTCTTGTGTCATCCCAGATGGTTAAAATGAAAAGGCTTTAATGAAGGGACTATTCACAGAGTTTCTGGACTGGATAAGGTAACAAACAAGGTATGGTAGGACACCTAGAGACTAGCAATGGTGAGAAGCTATTACTACCCTCCCCGCTTCCAGGGCCTATTGAGACAAGGGAAGGAAACACTTATCAGAGCCCAGTGAGTAAGAGTTGTACCTAGGATGCAGCTACAGTTAGATATAGCATGCCAAAGCAGGAAGAGAGCTGGAAAGAGCTACCCTGACCTCTGCTGAATCCCACCCTCCCATCTTCCCACAGAGCCTCCCACTGGCTGAACCCCAAAAGCCAGCTAGGAAGAAAGCCTGGACAGTGCAGTCCACTGGATTCAGTGGAGCAGGGAAGAGCATGAAACTGGGAGGGACCCTAGGCCCACAAATAACCAGCATCACACATTACGCATTGTCTTCCTGCTATGACAGATGAGGACTCAGCTCCCTTACCTGCAACCCCCCACTCAATATAGTTCTGGCACTATTTTTAGTAGCTGTATTTTAATAAGCACCTCAGCCAGCACCTGTGAAAGCAGGACTGCATCCTCTCTATGTCCTTAGAAAAATGTAATTAAGAAATAGAAAATACAGAGATTTAATTATCAAATAATTTAAATGCACAGAAAAATCCAGAAATAAATATAACAGACACCCATTTGTGGTCAACCCAGATGTAACACATTAACTTTTAGTTATGTGTTGTTTCAGAATTGTTATTTTCTGTTTTTTAAGGAAAAAATTGCAGATACAGTTAAGATCACTCTCATAGGCCGGGTGCAGTGGCTCATTCCTATAATCCCAGCAGTTAGGGAGGCCGAGGCAGGCAGATCACTTGAGGCTGGGAGCTCAAGACCAGCCTGGCCAACATGGTGAAACCCTGTCTTCACTTAAAAAAAAAAATACAAAAATTAATCAGGAGTGGTGGCACACACCTGTAATTCCAGTTACTTGGGAGCCTGAGGCACAAGAATCACTTGAACCTGGGAGGTGGAGGTTGCAGTGAGCTAAGATTGTGCCACTGCACTCCAGCCGGGGCGACGGTGTGAGACCCTGTCTCAAAAAAAAAAAATTTACTCTCATCTCTTTCTCCCATTCCTGCCCTCTCTCATCTCCAGAAATAAACACTATCATTAAGTTGGTGTGTATTATTGCATCTATAATTTTGCTACATATATTTGTATCTATAAACAATATACAACGTTGTTTTATGTCATTTTTTAAATTTACAAACGGGTCCCTTACTATGATATCTTTTTGGATCTTATTTTATAAACGCAGTACAATGTGTCTGAGACTTGTTTGTGTTGATACATATAGATCTGATTAGTTTGTTTTGACTTCTATATGGTTTTATATTTTATACATACTTATATTCCCTGCGATTGGCAATATAGTGAAATATATTTTCACTATTTATTTTGTGTATTTCTACTTTTATGCTTTTCGTTTCCTTGCCCTTTTTTGGAAAAGGGAGGGTATCTTGTTTTCTTTATTCCCTCTCTTTTCCCCTAACCATTTAAGAAGTTATAGATTTTTTTTTTCTTATCTTAAATTTTAGAATGGGCTTGGTGGCTCATGCCTATAAACCCAGCACTTTGGGAGGCTGAGGTGGCCAGATGGTTTGAGCCCAGGAGTTCGAGACCAGTGTGAGCAACATGACAAAACACCATCTCTACAAAAAAAAAAAAAAAAACAAACCACAAAAATTAGCTAGGTGTGATGGTGCACACCTGTAGTCCCAGCTACTCAGGAGGCTGAGGCAGGAGGATCTCTTAAGCCTTACAGGCTGCAGTGAGCCAAAATCTCACCACTGCACTCCAGCCTGGGCAACAGATTAAGACCCTATCTCTAAATAAATAAATAAATAAATAATAACACAAATTTAAAAATAAAAATAATCTTAACATTTTAACATGCATGAATTACAAAGAAAATATTAGGATATTAAAATGTTATAGTTCTGCAGCTGGGCACGGTAGCTCATGACTGTAGTACTATCGCTTTGGGAGGCTGAGGCAGGTGGATCATTTGAGGTCAGGAGTTCACGACCAGCCTGACTAACACGGTGAAACCCCGTCTCTACTAAAAACACAAAAAATCAGCGGGGCATGGTGGCCAGCGCCTGTAATCACAGCTACTCGGGAGGCTGAGGCAGGAGAATCGCTTGAACCTGGGAGGCAGAGGTTGCAGTGAGCCTAGATTGCACCACTACACTCCAGCCTGGGCAACAAGAGCAACACTCTATCTCAAAAAAAAAAAAAATTATTTCTGAACCACTTGAGGATATGGTATGCATACTGTGCTCTTTACCCCTAAATACTTCAGTGTGCATTTCTTAAGAGTACAGACACTCTCTTGTATAACCCTCAGCTCAGTTATCAACTTTAATAAATTTAACAATGATACATTTTTATTAATCTTCCATTCTTCTCCTGGTTTCATCAGCTGGCCTGGTAATGTCCTTTATTACATTCTTCCCCCATCTCCCCACCTCAAGTACACAACCCAGTCTCTTCTCAGGCATTGCATTTAGTTGTTATATATTTTAAGCCTTCCTGAATCTGGACTATTTATGTAGCTTTTGCCTTTTATTACATGGACAGTTTTATTATACTCCTTTCCCCCAAATTTTTAAATACAATGTTTCTCATTTTGTTTGTCTGATATTTCTTTATTAGATTCCGGTTATTCATTTTTGCCCAGAATATCACACAGGTGATGTTGGATCCTCAGAGTATCACACATTTAGAGTCACATGATATTCTCAGAGGGGTTGGGAGGGGCAGGCAGGAATTTAAAAAATATATTCTCTTTGTGACTTTACCTAATGTTTATTTTATCTTAGTTGTGACTTGTTATGATCCCCCAATCTGAAGATTCATATATATATATATATAATATATATATTATACACACACACACACACATACATATGCATATATATACACACACATATACATATATACATTTTTTTTTTTGAGATGGAGTCTCGCTTTGTTGCCCAGGCTGGAGTGCAGTGGCAGGATCTCTGCTCACTGGGACCTCCACCTCCTGGATTCAAGCCATTCTCCTGCCTCAGCCTCCTGAGTAGCTAGGATTACAGGTGCGCACTACCATGCCTGGCTAATTTTTGTATTTTTAATAGAGACGAATTTTCACTGTGTTGGCCAGTCTTGTCTCGAACTCCTGGCCTCAGGTGATCCACCCGCCTTGGCCTCCCAAAGTGCTGGGATCACAGGTGTGAACAACTGCACCTGACCTGAAGATTCATTTTTAACTAGTGTTTTCATTAAGCAGGACCCAAAGGAGTATAAGAAAAAAAAACTAACTTGATTATTTCTCCCCACCCCTTCAAACTTTCTCTGCAGTTTCTTCCCTATTCCTGCATAAAATTTCAAATAACCTAATAATTACACAATTTGGGACTAGTCCAATGTAATATGAATAATATAAATTTATTCCAGTTCAAATCTTCCTTTCCACAGCTCTAAAAACAGGCATCTTTGCCCATTATTAGTGAAAGTGTGGCTCAGGGTACAGCCATCACCTGTCACTCTGCTGCCAGGCAGGAACATCTCCAACCATGGCCTCCTGATTTTAGACTTTTCAGGTATGAGTCATAGAGCTGCCCTAGACCCTCCAACTTCAGAAGACAAATGTCAAGCGAGCCAGGGAGTATTAGTGAAATCACTTTCTTCTGACTTAAAATGACTCTTGCTCTTCCTCCACAACTGTCCTAAGAACACAGTACATCAGTATAACAAACTTCTTAAAATTCCATCTGGGCGACCTGTACTAGAGGATCTCAAAGATTTCTTCCACCTTCACTTTTTATTACCTTATGAGAAAAAAGCGGGGAACATTTGTGTTTCTTTAAAACAATTCCCTACTCTGGTACGTAAGTATGTTGCCTCTTCCACCAGAAGGTTTAATTTTTAATAATCTAAGCTATGGTAAGAATTTCAATAATTCAAATAAACTTTCAGGTGAAAGAATATGGGACGAGAACAGGCTGAAGTTCCCCTTTCCTTTTCCCCAAAGCCTGTCATCACACTTACAGCGCCAGCCATGTGGCTTGCTCATCATATTTAATGAGAGCAGTGATCCAGAGGGTTTTGGAGTAGTCACTGGTTCTCCAGTCTATGCCCAGTAAGCTCATCAAGAATCATAATTCCTCAAAATTAGCCTGATTTGCTCATTCCACAACGCATACATGTATTGACATATCACATTATACCCTACAAATATATACAATTATCATTTGTCAATTAAAAATAAAGCCCCAAAAGGAAGAAAAATAAACACTCTAGTTCTTACAGCTGTTCTCTCAGTGGTCCAGACACTGTTGGCCACCTCTAAATTTCCTCATATATTCCCATGAAATAATGTTAAGTGAAGAAAATAGAAGAGGCACCAAGACAGAAAAACAGGCCAAGAGAACAGAATAAGAAGCCTAAAAGCAGACCCACCCACATATAAGTGGCAACTTGAAACTTGACAACAGTGATATTTGAAAACACTGGGGAAAGAAAGCATAATTAAAAATATAGTACCAGGACAATTGGCTTCATGAAGAAAATGATAAATGAGACCCTATCTCACATATAACAACTTGCAAATGTGAAAAACAATATTTCTAGCACTTGGGAAGAAAATAGAGGAAAATGTAATTTTATGATATTACAGTAAAAAAGCACTTCATAAGGCAGCAAAAACACAAAGAGAACAATTGTTAAATTTTACAAATTAAAATTCTAATATCTGTATAAAAAGGAGCTCATAACAAAAATAAAAGGCCAGCCACAGATAAGCATATAATAAACAAAGACTAATCAACTGGGATAAAGGTATCTTGCAAAATAATAGGAAAAAGACAAACAATGCCATTAAAAATGGGCAAATAATATGATCATGGAATTTACATAAACAGAAACATAAATGTCCAATAAAGGTACAAAAAGATATTCAGGGCTGGACACAGTGGCTCATGCCTATAATCTCAGCACTTTGGGAGGTCAAGGTGAGCAGATCACTTGAGGCCAGGAGTTCGAGACCAGCCTGGCCAACATGGCAAAACCCTGTCTCTACTAAAAATATAAAAGAAATTAGCCAGGTGTGGTGGCGGATGCCTGTAATCTCAGCTTCTTGGGAGGATGAGGCATGAGAATTGCTTGAACCCAAGAGGTGGAGGTTGCAGTGAGCCAAGATGGCACCACTGCAGTCCGACGTGAGTGACAGAGCAAGACTGTCTCAAAAAAAAAAAAAAAAAAAGATGTTCAGGGAAAATGCAAATTAAAACAACAATAATTTTACACCTATAATTTGGCAGCAATTAAGAGTCTGATAATACTAAGTGTTTATGAAAATGTCAAGAATTAGAAATATTATTCACTGCTAGTGGAGGTGTAAATCAGTTTAACCACTTTAATGAACAATTTGGCCATAGTAATATTGAAAATTGCTTTTTCTTGTGGGGCGCGGTGGTCATGCCTATAATCTCAGGACTCTGGGAGGCAGAGACAGATCAGCTGAGGTCAGGAGTTCGAGAGCAGCCTGGCCAACCTGGTGAGACCCCATCTCTACTAAAAATACAAAAATTAGCCAGGTATAGTGGTGGGCACCAATAATCCCAGCTACTTGGGAGGGTGAGGCAGGAGAATTACTTGAAGGGAGGTGGAGGTTGCAGTGATCTGAGATGACACCACTGCACTCCAGCCTGGGTGACAGAGCGAGACTCTTCTAAAAAAAAAAAAACTGCTTTTTCTCAACTCAGAATTGCACACTGCGGAATACATTATGAAATTCACATGTTCACAATGTCATGTGTAAATATATTTATTGCAGAATTGCAATAATTTTATATTAGTAAAAACTAATTATATATAATAATATATTATATATTATTATATTATATATATAATAATATATTATATATTATTATATTATATATATAATAATATATTATATATTATTATATTATATATATAATAATATATTATATATTATTATATTATATATATAATAATATATTATGTATTATTATATTATATATATAATTTTATAATAGTAAAAACTAAAATAAACCAGTTTTTCTATCATTTGGGGAATAAGTAAACTATATAATGGGATACTATCCAGTAAAACTTAATGAATGTTCATTTTTAATTTAAAAAAGTAAATTACAAAAACGATACATGATGCCATTTATATACATTTAAAAACAAAAGCAACTCCATTGTTTCAAATCCATTCAGGTCTGAACATATACACATATTTGGTGGTACATTTAGCTATACTAAAAAGTATTAAAACAGGATGGAAGTAATACACACTCACTTTAGGATAAGTGGTTAGCTTTAAGAAGAAAAAATGGGGTGAGTAATATAGTTTATGTCTCCTACCTCACTGTTTCTCTCTTCTTCTTCTGGTACTCTAATTACACTTATGTTAGACCATTCGATATTGTCTCACAGCTTTTGGGTGCTCTGGGGTTTTTACTTTTTTTTCTCTTTGGGTTTTGGTTTGCATAATTTTTAACGACCTGTCTTCAGGTTCATATATTCTTTCCTCAGCAATGTAAAGTCTCCTGAACTGCTCATTGACATAATTCATATCTGTTACCTTGTTTTTTATTTCTATCAATTAAATTTGACTCTTTCATATATTTTATCTCTCTACTGAAATCCGTCTATTCATACATGTTGTTTCCATTTTCCAATGGAGCCTTTAACATATTAATCATAGTTATTTTAAGTTCCCAGATAGTCTCAACATCTAGGTAGTCTTTAGGATTGCTTTTATTCTCCAAGATGACAGATTGGAGGTAGTGTTCACATGTCACTCCCACTTGGAAAGACAAAATAGCCTGTATATATTCACCCTGTGACTTTATTCCCAAGGAACACTGCAGGAACTAAACAGGAAAACTAAAATCCACAGATTATTTTTATTTTATTTGTCTGAGATGGAGTCTCACTCTGTCACCCAGGCTGGAGTGGAGTGGCACAATCTCAGTTCACTGCAACTCCGCCTCCCGGGTTCAAGCAATTCTCCTGCCTCAGCCTTCCGAGTGGCTGGGACTACAGACATGCATCACCACCAGTTAATTTTTGTATTTTTAGTAGAGACGGGGTTTCACCATGTTGCCCAGGCTGGTCTCAAATTCCTGACCTCAAGTGATCCACCTGCCTTGGGCTCCCAAAGTGCTGGGATTACAGGCATAAGCCACCACACCTGGCCCACAGATTATTTTTTTAAAGTAGCAGGCTGCAGCCTATGGCACCAGCCAGGTTAAAAACAAAACAAAACAACAACAACAACAAAAAAAAAAACTGTAAGTCCCCAGAATGTGAGAGGGGAAGTGACTGCCTCCAGGGTATACACCCCCACCAGGGAACCTGGTAATCTAGGCCACAGGGAAAGGCCTTAACCAACACTGGAACTGATTTTGAGAGTGGAGAGGAATATTAAAGCACAAACGGCAGCAGGAAGAACTCTGCATGCACTCCCAGTCTCCAGCATCGACCAAGGGAAGCCATTCCTTATTCTGCCACACAGGAGACCTCACAAAAGTCTGCCAACTTACTCAGGCAGCAGCCATTGCCTGAGTTAATTAAAAGAAGCTCCCAACTGAATTTCACGATATAACCTCGAGTGGGGAAGAACTCCCTTGGCCAGAACCCGGGAGCGAATGGGAAGTGTGCTGCAGGCATGAGCAAATGAGCCGGGTGCCCCGGCTGTGCAGGCAGACTGGCAGGGGCATGGCCTGAAAGCCATGGTTCTTGTCTCCACAGGGGAAGGCTTATGGCCCAAGGAAGTTTTGAGTTCTAAGCATAGATGGCCAGGAACTTAGCTGGCTGCTGCTAGCAGAATACTGCAGGTAAGAGATCTGCCTTGCCAAGTGCACGGGAGCTGGGTGGGGCTTACTGCTGCCTGTTACTCCCCACTCCCTACGTGAACTCTTCTATGCAGCAGATGCAGTTATGCTCCTCTCTGGAACATGATCCCAATGGCCAAAGAACCACCTCCACAACTCCCACAGGGGCCACTGCTAGCACCACATGTGAAGAGTCAAAACATGGACCTGCCTGACCCAGCCCCCACCTGCTTTGCCCACCACCTGCCCTGGTAGCTTAACACGAAAGACAGAAACTTTTAGGAGCACAAAAAACAGAAACTTTTCAGAGCTTTATGGCCCCACCCCTTGCCTGATTATCCAAAGTACCAGCCCTGGGTAGCATAAGGCAAGCACAAATCCCATCACTTCTGCTATAGCTGGTGCTCTTTGGCAAGCATCACTTCCTGGCTGGAGGCCAACTCACACCGTCCATTACAGCATCTGCAGGTAGAATAACACTGTGCCCAGGAAGGAGAAAACTTGTGTGTGAACCCAGCCATCACCATTGCCTGCACCACTCTGGCTAACCAGGAGGTCCTGAATCTGCCCATGTGACCTACTTATTACTACCCAAATGGGCATTTGAGGAAGCCAATACACGAAGACTTTCTATAACCAAGGAATCTCTGAGTCTATGTCACTCCCCTGCCACTCCTGTTAGAGCTGGTGCTGGTACCTGCTACTGGGAGACTTGAGAGCAGGTCATAAATCTGGATCCCTTGCAGATATTCCCTAGTACCAGGCTACAGTGTGGCAGCCGCATTGGGTGGCTAGACTCAGAGGAGTAACAGCATTCACAGTAGTCTGGCTCTCAGGGCCTCCCACTCCTAAAGGAAGGGGGAATGCACCCCATCAAGGGAACACCCTGTGGGACAAAAGAACCCAGGTGGCAAGCCTTGAGTCTCGGGTCTTTCTGCTGGTGGGAAGTTTCCTTCAGCAGAGGCACAATTGCAGTGGTGGGATCAGCAGGGAAAATCTGTAGCTCTCCCCCGACAAGTCAGGCAGTGTTGGTGTTTGTGAAGGGCCTTGGAGAGGGGGATTTCTTTTCTACCTCATTCACCACTGCAAACACAGCTGGGGCTTTTCCCATGGGAACTCAGTGTGGGTGCACCTCTAGACAGCCTCTCTGGAACACTTCAGGGTGACTGCATCCCTACTGGAGGAGCACCCTCCAGGTGCAGGCTTGCACAAGAGACAGAGTCACAATTCCTCTCTGCTTGGAACATCAACATTCCTGCAGATGAGTAGAGGTGCTTATCTGCTCTAAATAGCCAGAACACTGGATCAAGAGTTTGTCTGGGAGGTGGATCGCTCTCCTGCTGGCCTGGCAGAAGAGCTGAGGTGGCTCCAGTCCTTCCTTCTGATAAGACCTCAGCATGCTTCACTGAGAGTTCCCCCAGCCATCTCTGTCAAGGCAGGGACCTCTGTCCATCATTGGTTATTGCATTTACCCACCTGCTTTAGCCACAGCTGGTTTTCACCCATGGCCTAGCTCCCCTTTTGGTCTGAAGCCTGGACTATTCAACCCAGTAAATAAAATACTTGGGGACAAATAAATAAAGAAGTGCATAATATGGGGGAATGAGATAAGCTTCAAGAGACCTCTGTCATTCCAATCCTATGGGAGACAGTGAACTTGCTCACGCACTGAGCACAGTGCTACTACAACCAGCATCTGAATAAGCCATCATCCAAAGACTCTACAACCAAGGAACTCATACAGAGCCTTCACCCCTGAAAGCACCCCTGAAAGCATACAAAGCCTTCACTCCTGAATTAGGTTACAATAAACTATAAACATTTAAGTCACATCCTTAAGGGGGGGAAAAGAAATTTAAAAAAAACACAGTTAGGCTGGACACAGTGGCTCACACCTGTAATCCCAGAACTCTGGGGAGGCCGAGGACAGCAGGTCACTTGAAGTCAGGAGTTCGAGACCAGCCTGGCCAACATGGTGAAATCCCATATCTACTAAAAATACAAAAATTAGCCAGGCATGATGATGAGTGCCTATAATCCTAGCTACTCAGGAGGCTGAGGCACGAGAATCACTTGAACCCAGGAAGTGGAGGTTGCAGTGAACCAAGACCATGCCACTGCACGGCAGCCTGAATGACAGAGTAAGACTCTGTCTCAAAAAATGAAGAAGAAGAAAACAAGAAGAAGAAGAAGAAGAGGAGGAGGAAGAAGAAGAAGAAGAAGAAGAAGAAGAAGAAGAAGAAGAAGAAGAAGAAAAGAAATAACAAAGATGAGAGCAGAACTAAATGAAATTGAAACCAAAAAAATACAAAAGATCAATGAAACAAAAAGCTGATTCTTTGAAAAGATAAACAAAACTGATAGACCATTAGCTAGATTAACCAAGAAAAGAAGAGAGAAGATTCAAATAGGCTCAATTAGAAATGAAACCGGAGACATACAACCAACACTACAGAAATACAAAATGTTATTGGAGACTACTCTGAACACCTCTATGCACACAAAACAGAAAACCTAGAGGAAATGGATACATTCCTGGAAGCATACAACCCTCCTAGATTAGATCAGGAAGAAACAGAAACCCTGAACAGACCACTAACAAGCAATGAGATTGAATCAGTACGTTTTTTAAAATGCCAACAAAAAAAAAATTCCAGGGCCAGATGGATTCATAGCTGAATTCTACCAGACATTCAAGGAAGAGTTGGTACTAATACTACTGAAACTATTCCAAAAGAATGAGAAAGAGGGAATCCTCTTTAAATCATTCTATGAAGCTAGTATCACCCTGATACCAAAACCAAGAAAGGACATAACAAAAAAAAGAAAACTCCAGACCAATATTCCTGATGAATACACATGCAAAAACCTCAATAAAACACTAGCTAACCAAATCCAACAGCACATCAAAAAGACAACACACTGTAATCAAGTTGGTTTCATCCCAGGGGTGCAGGGATGGTTTAACATATGCAAGTCAATAAATGTAATACATCACATAAATAGAATTAAAAACAAAAACTATATTATCATCTCAGTAGATGCAGAGAAAGGATTTGATAAAATTCAGCATCACTTTATGATTTAAAAAACCCTCAACAAACTAGGCATAGAAAGTACTTAATAAATTTTCAAGTTAATAAAGTACCCAAATTAATAAAAACCATATATGACAAATCCACAGCCAAAACCATATTGAATAAGAAAAGGTTGAAAGCATTCCCCCTGAGAGCTGGAACAAGACAAGGATGCCCACTTTCACCACTTCTATTCAATATATTACTGGAAGTCCTGGCCAGAGCAATCAGACAGGAGGAAGAAATATAGGGCAACCAAATTGGAAAAGAGGAACTCAAACTATAACTGTTCACTGATGGTATTATCATATACCTAGAAAGCCCTAAAGACTTCTCCAAAAGACTCCTAGATTTGATAAATTAATTCAGTAAAGTCCCAGATTACCAAATCAGTGTACACAAATCAGTAGCGCTGTTATACACCAACAATGGCCAAGCTAAGAATCAAATCCAGAACTCAATCTCTTTTACAACAGCTGCAAAAAAAAAACAAACAAACAAACAAACAAAAAACAAAAAACCTAGGAATTTACCTAACCAAGGAAATGAAAGGTACCTGCAAGGAGAACTACAAAACACTGTTGGAAGAAATCATAGATGACACAAATGGAAACACATCCCATGTTTGTGGGTTGGAAGAATCAATCTTGTGAAAATGAACATACTGCCCAAAGCAATCTATGGATTCAATGCAATTTCATCAAAATACCAATATCATTTTTCACAGAATTAGAAAAACAATCCTAAAATTCATATGGAACAAAAAAGAGCCAGAATAGTCAAAGCAATCCTAAACAAAAAGAACAAATCTGGAGGCATCCCATTACCAGACTTCAAGTTATACTACAAGGCTATAGATACCAAAACAGCGTGGTACTGGTATAAAAGCAGGCACTTAGGCAAATGCAACAGAATAGAGGACCTAGAAATGAAGGCAAATATTTACAGCCAACTGATCTTCAACAAAGCATACAAAAACATAAATTGGAGAAAGATTACCCTACTTAATAAAAGGTGCTGGGAAAACTGGCTAGCCACATTTAGAAGAATGAAACTGGATCCCTATTGCTCACATTATACAAAAATTAACTCAAGGTGAATCAAAGACTTAAATCTAAAACTCAAAACCATAAAAATCCTAGAAGGTAACCTTAAGAAAACTCTTCTGGACATTGGCTTAGGCAAAGAATTTATAACTAAAACCCCAAAAGCAACTGCAACTGCGACAAAAATAAATAAATGAGACCTGATTAAATTTAAAAGCCTCTGCACAGCACAAAAAATAATCAGCAGAGTAAACAGATAACCCATAGATTAGGAGAAAATATTTGCACGCTGTGTATCTGAGAAAGGACTAGTATCCAGAATCTACAAGGAACTCAAACGAGTCAGCAAGAAAAAAAAATAGCCCCATCAAAAAGTGGGCAAAAAATATGAATAATATTTCTCAAAAGAAGATATACAAATGGCCAACAAACATATGAAAAAATGCTCAACATCAGTAATCATCAGGGGACTGCAAATTAATGCCAAAATGAGATATCACCTTACTTCTGCCAGAATGGTCATTATTAAAAAGTCAAAAAAATAGATGTTGGTGTGGAAGTAGTGAAAAGGGAATGCTTATACACTGCTGCTGGGAATGTAAATTATTACAACCTCTATGGAAAACAGTGTGGAGATTTCTTAAAGAAATCTAGATCTAAAAGTAGATCTACCATTTGATCCATCAATCCCACTCCAGGGTATCTATCCAAAGGAAAGTAAGTCATTATATGAAAAAATAATGTACGTGTATGTTTATTGCAGCCCAATTCACAATTGCAAAGATATGGAACCAACCTAAGTGCCCATCGACTAATGAGTCAATAAAGAAAATGTGATATACACCATAGAATACTACTCAGCCATAAAAAGGAACAAAATAATGCTTGCAACAACTTGGATGAAATTCGAGGCTATTATTCTAAGTGAAGTAACTCAGAAATGGAAAATCAAACATGGTACATTCTCACTTATAAGTGGGAGCTAAGCTATGAGGACACAAAGGCATACAGAATGATATACTGCACTATGGAGCCTCTGAACAGGGAGAGTAAGAAGCGGTTGTGGGACAAAAAAACTACATATTGGGTTCAGTGTACACTACTCAGGTGATGGGTGCACTAAAATCTCAGAACTCACCACCATATAATTCTTCCATTAGCCCAAAACCATCTGTACCTCAAAAGCTATTGAAATTTTTTAAAAACTAAAACTAAAAATAGATAAATTGGTTTTATTCATCCTTAATCAGGCTTTTTTTCTTATGTGTATATCTTGTAATTTTTTTTTTTTTTACTGACTGCTGGACAGTGTGTGTAGAATAAAGATGAAGATAAATAGCACTTGTGCCTGAAAATGGATACACATTTTTTTTTTTTTTTGAGACAGAGTCTTGCTCTGTCACCCAGGCTGGAATGCAATGGCGCAATCTCGGCTCACTGCAACCTCTGCCTCCCGGGTTCAAGTGATTCTCATGCCTCAGCCTCCCGAGTAGCTGGGATTACAGACGCGCACCACCACACCTGGCTAATTTTTGTATTTTCAGTAGAGACAGGGTTTCATCATGTTGTCCAGGCTGGTCTCAAACTCCTGATCTCAGGTGATCCACCTGCCCCAGCCTCCCAAAGTGCTGGGATTACAGGCATGAGCCACTGCACCCCGCCACATTTACAAGTTTTTAAAATTAGCTTATTAGTGGGGCAGGGAGGGTGAGTCAATCTGGTCAGGAACTGAGAAGGGGATTTTGTTGCTATAGTTACCTTCAGTGTAACTAGTGAACCAGTGGCTTCAGATTCCTCTAGTGTGACCTTGTGCTTGGTACGGGGGCTGGATGCCGGAGGGTTTTTCTAAACATCTCTACTCCACGCTTAGCTTTCAGCCTTCCCATGTGTGTGCACTACACAGAGGATCTCCTCCCATGCTCTTGTCTCTTCCGCAGTAGTAAGCTGAAATGCTTGAAACTCAGTGCTTGCTCACCTGATTTTGTGGGGCAGGGGGAGGGACAGAAGGGGGAATTCTCTGTTGGAAAGAAGAGGATTTTCTGTTAAACTGGTAAGCTGTTTGTGCCTGGGTCTCAGAGGTATGACTTTCTTACTGATCCTGCCTTTCTTCCCCACTGTAAGCCAAATTCTGCTTTCTTCTTTAGCTCTTGTGCAAGACATAACTTCCTGCACTTTCCCCACCAGTAGGAGGCTGCTAGTTGTATTGGTATAGCATTCATACTTAGAATGTTTTCCTACCCCTTTCCCTGGCATAGAAAGAATGTTGTCTTTGACCTTTCCCCCAGCTCCCTGTGGTGCTCCCTCAATGTGGTGCTACCTCTCAGTTGGCCGCTTCTCCTTCAATAGCTCATGGCTTTGGTTCCATAGGGGAGGAGTCTCCTGTGGCAGGGACCAATTTCCTCCATCCTTCAGTTCTTAACCAACTAGAGAACTTTCTGTTCTCCCTCCGTGACTCAATCTTTCTTGTGAGCAATCAACAGAAGTCCATGGAGAAGAAACTACTACTAAGTGTGAACTTCCCTGGTGTCTGGGATCCCAAGGTTTCTATACTGTCACTGTAGCCCATACTCAGCTTTTACCAAATCATTACAAATTTTAGTTGACTTCTTACCTACTAATATGGTACCCAATGTTTCTACCACCCATGCTCTGCCCAAAGGGGAGCTAATGTGTGGATCTTCTCTCTTCTCAGAGGGGCCGGTCTTTGCTTGGATTTCAGGCTGCTTAGTCACCCTCCAAACTGAATTCTCAGATGGGTTTAAGAAAAGTTATAATGTTGCAGTTTATCTGGCTTTTTCTTGTTATGTGGGAGTAATACTTTTTTAGCTTTCTATATCCTTGGTGAAAGTAGAGTCTATCTATATCTTTAACTCTTATTTCTTTTTTTTTTTATTTTGAGATAGGGTTTCACTCTGTCACCCAGGCTAGAGTACTGTGGGGCTATCACAGCTCACTGCAACCTCAAACTCTCTGGGCTCAGGAGATCCTTCCATCTCAGCCTCCCAAGCAGCTGGGATTACAGACACATGCCACCACACCTGGCTAATTTTTTGTGTTTTTAGTAGAGACAGGGTTTTGTCATGTTGCCCAGGCTGGTATCAAACTCCTGGGCTCAAGCGATCTACCTTCCTCAGCCTCCCAAAGTTCTGGGATTACAGGCATGAGCCACTGCACCTGGCCTAACTCTTCATTTCTTAATTTAAAAAATTTTTAAAGAGATCCAAATTATATCAATAAAAAAATAAATTAAAAAAAAAAAAAAAAAGAGATCCAAATTAGTGAAGTGACATCATATGTTAAATCTGGTTGTTGGTTCCACGGCCTGGCAAAGAATTTTTTAGCTGGCCACATCATCTTGAATTAAAACTTCATTTCCCACCTATCACGCAATTAGATGTGGCCACGTTACTACATTTTAGCCAACAAGATATGAATGAAAGTGTGGTATAAACATTCTTGGGAGTTTCTTTAGAGAGAAAGAGGAATTCCTATGGGGTAGGATGTGGGTGAGATTTCTGGAGTTCCAACAACCATCTTGCAAATGCAAAGGCATCCCAAGAATGGCACACCAGAGAGGTGGAGGTTGCATCCCCAGTGCTGATGATATAGAACTGCCAAACCAGCCCTGGATTGACCATCTACAGACACAGTTTAGGTGACAGAAAAATAAATGTCTTTCTTGTCTAAGCCCATGTTATTGCCTGGAATGAAGAGGAACTCATTCTATTGCCACCCATCTTAATCCAAACTGCCACACTTGGTGACATATTGTTTTGGTATGTTTGAATTATTTCATAATCTAAATGTTTAATTAAAGCAAAATTGCACAGACAGTAAAAATATCAACAATATATAAATATGCATTGAGGAAGAGAAATATGTCAACATTGCTTCTCTCTGGGTAGTGAGATTATGTGTACGTTCTTTTCTTTTATCCTCAGCCATGTCTATTCGACTTTTCCACATTGAGCATGATTCATTGAAGTTTTTGTTATACTGAAGCGTGGTTCTCCTCCTCTGCTGGCACTGGTATGTCATCGCCTCTGGGCTGCTTAGAAGACTCCTTTAGCATGTGCTATTTCCATAGCACCTCTCTGCAACCTTCATCTTTCTTTGTGAGTCTCTTCCTCCTGACCATGTGGTAGCTCCATTCTGAAACCAGAATTATAAATAAATAAAGACTTGGATTTGCCTCTGTCTTTCCCCACACTTAATACTTCCTGCTCCTGTTCACCAAGGAGGAGATTTTCTCCCAACCAGTGACTTCAGCTTCAATTAGGAGTTCCAAAGCAATCCTGGCACTCTTGGCTTTAGCATCCTTTCTCAAATGTCTTGGAATAACTGCCAAGCACTGTATTGGAGACCATAACATTACCTAGGATCTCCCAGGGACCAAGAACCACTGTCTCCTTGAATTCTGGATGATCTGCTACTTCACAATAAGTTCCAAACTCATAAAGAGTATCCAAAGCCCCAGAGTTTGAGGGTAATCTTTGTTTCCCTCCTTGTTCAAGACAGTACATTTTACTGACCTGGTATATTCTTTATCTATTGCTGCATTGAAAATTACTCCAGTTGGGCTACAGTCAACACAAGGTTCAACTGGGACAAGATATACTTCCAAACTCATCCGGTGGCTGTTGGCAGGTTTCACTTCCTTTTGGGCCGTTGGGCTGAGGACCCAGTTCTCTGCTGGATGCTGACTAGAAGCTGCCCTGGATTTCTTGCCTTGCAGGTTCCTCCAACATGGCAGCTGGTTTCAGCATCAAAGCACACAAGCCAAGAAGTCAATAGAGAGGAGAAAGCAGCAGCAAGAGAGATTCCTAGCAAAGTAGAAATCACAACCTCTTGCAACCTCATCATGAAAGTGACATCCCATTGCTTTTGTCATATTCCATTCATGAGAAGCAGGTCAATAGGTCTGGCCTGAACACAAGGGGAGGAGCTTACCTAAAGAGGTAAGGACCAGGAGTTAGAGAGCACTGCAATATATCTTAGGAGTCTGCCTACCGCACGAGGCCTCACCATCAGTCCAAAAGTCCCCTTCAGTTTTTCCCAGGAGATCTAGCAGGACCTCAGGCAACCTGGACTTCAAATGACCCCTTCTGCTATCCCTAGTTCTATATGTAGCAGCCCAGACACATTAATTTCTACTTTCCAAAGTTGTTCTTCTGTCCTCTACTTGTCACACCATCAAATTTAGTTTGGGCTTTCAGAGAATGAAAATGGCAGACAGACAAAAGGAAAGCTTATCTGAAGTTTAAGATTTTAAGGATGCTGCCAGTTTCCAAAAGCAATTCTACCCTGGTAAAATAAAATCCTTATTCTGCTCGTCCAGGACACTTGACCCAGAGCCCAACAAGGCGGTATTCCCGTTCACACTCACTGAAGCCACTCTGTCTTCCTGCAAGAGTTATCTTGGCCCTAGTCTGTAGCTCATCTCCTACAGGGGCACTTAAAAGGAAACAACAGTTCTTGGTCCAAAGCAATAAAGAGACAAGTGAGTCATAACAGTCTGGGTTCTTCACCAGCATAAGCGCTTCCATGAATCGCCTCTATAAAAACCCTGCCCTTCTAGCCCAAGCCGTGTTCCAAGTTCCAAAACCTTCCATTCAAGGGTTTTATAACTCAGCCCTGTGCTCAGAAATGTCACTGCACATAAGAGGGCCTTTGATCTCTGGCCATACCCAAGCCCATAGTCTGCAGCGAAGCGTGCTTTGATAACTATCTAAAGAGAAAAGCACTTTGGTTTCCTCTCATCTATTTCTATTCTACTTTTAATAAGCTGCTTAGCTTCAGGCGTCTGCCCTCTGCCCTCCAAGCTTCATCTCAACCAGAAGTAAAACAGGCTTGTGGTTGTGTGCTTTGAGAGCTCATGAAATAACAATAGTGGTAGCAAACACCAATAAAGGGCTTACTACGTGCCAGGCACCATCCTAAGTAGTTTCTGTAGGTTATCCTATGTAGGTTTTCACAGATGAGGAAATGGAAGCATAGAAAGGCACTGAGTGACTAGCTTTCTGATGAAGTCACAGTCAGAGAAACAGAGCCAGAAGTTAAAATCAAGCAACGCATCTCCAAAATGCATCTTACCCCTGTGCAATGAAAGAGAATACAAGCCCCCTCAGAGAAGGGAAAATATGAAGTCAGAAATACGAGTATTTCTTTAATAAGAGAGAAGATTTGCAGCAAACTCCTTCAATCTAGAAACACTTTCTTTTTCCAGGTACTGTGTTAGAAATCCCTTCAGTAGGAAAACTAAATGGGCAAGTCTTTAAACCAAACCAAAATGTTTCCTGAGCTTTCAATGAATCAAATTGAACTCAAGGCCCCAAGTCTGAATAAATTATGCCCTAAGATCTGTCAGAAGCAGTAGATTTCTTCTATTGGGTTTTTCTTCCATTCGATATAAAGACATAAGCGCTCTGTTGCTGCCCAATTGCTTTATTAAAAAAAAAACATATATATATATATATATATATATATATATATATATTTGAGACGGAGTCTCGCTCAGTCGACCGGGCTGGAATGCAGTGGCAGGATGTTGGCTAAGTGCAACCTCTGCCTCCCACGTTCAAGTGATTCTTCTGCCTCAGTCTCCCAGGTAGCTGGGATTACAGGCTCCCACGACCACGCCCAGCTAATTTTTGTATTTTTAGTAGAGATGAGGTTTCACCATGTTGTCCAGGCTGGTCGCAAACTCCTGACCTCAAGTGATCTGCCCACCTCAGCCTCCCAAAGTACTGGGATTACAGGCATGAGCCACCATGCCCGGTACAGAAACTTTCTTACTCATTTGAATTGAAAACTTCTATGTTTTTAAAGCATATTTTCATTAAGTGTGGAAATTCATAAAATACGGTTAGGTAGGAAGACGATGTTCACAAATTAGGTTTATAATCTATCATTTCAAACTTCGCTGTATTCAAAAATTAGTTATCTAAAATTAACTCCAGAGAAGTTTGTATGTACAAATAGTTGTTATAACAAAAGCTACCTTTCTTTTCTCAATCCGTGTCATGTGGATCTAAGCCCCTGCCTCAGAAATGGGGTGGGCATGTGTGTCCTCTTGGTGAGACCACTCTACCGCCCTAGCCAATGTGATTGCTTCAGAGATGGTTACATAGCCCTAGCTGGACCATTAAAAGTCTCCAAACCTTTGCTGGAATTATTGAGAGAGAGAGCATTCAAAAAGAACTCAGTATATAAAAAATACTGGAGTTAATAAGCAAGTAAAATATTAACAGAAGACTGTATATGCCCCAGGCCACCAGATGGGGGAGAGTGCACCTGAAAAGAGGCCAATACAGAAGAAAGCAGATAGAAATAGCTTCCAATGATCCTGTGGGGGCCTGGATCCAGCTGTACCTGAATCTCCTCCAATGCTATGCAGTTACATATGCCAGTAAGTCTTTTTTGCCTTTAAATCTGTGCATTGGGTTTCTGCTCCTTGTAACCTAGGGAGTCCTGACTAGTTCCTAGGAGCAGGTGTGCTTCCAGATCCTGTTCAGTTGCTACTGACCACAGCAGGTAGTGTGAAATGACACCCCAGAGAGCTGTGTATTTCAATGCCACACCCACATTCTGGGTGTGCCTGTGAAAGCAATCCAGCAGCAGTGTGCACAGCTGGAGCTGACTTAAGAGCTCCTAGGAAGGCCCAACCCTACAGCTAAAGGTCATGTAAAGACGTTGTGGAGAGATAATAAACAACACACACATACGCACCCATTAGGCAAAAATACCACATATTTTCTTCTCAGAGGAAATAACCATGAGCAAAGTATGGATATGAGTCAGTAACTGACTATAATTAGGGGCTTCCCTCCCACCCCAGTAACATCTGAATCAAGGCAGAGGACATTCCAGCAGTCCAGCAGTTGGTAAAGAACTAACCACATCTTTCTTGATGTTTCCTGTGACTCGATCCTTGCAGAACAGGGCACTGCAAGTCAGAAAATAGCTTCCTAGGAGAATTTAATACTAAGGAATTGGGAGTTTCCTCCGTCTATCAGAACCAAAATCATTCTACCTTAAGCCTTGGGGTTTGGAGCTCAACATAACCCAAGCATCCACTCTAGGAATCCCCCATCTGCTGCATAACTTTGGGTCCATTTGTATTTCAAAACTCTATTATGACTAGATATCCATATGCAGAAGAATGAAACTAGGCCCCTATCTCTCACCATATATAAAAATCAAATCAGCCAATTGCAGTGGCTCATGCCTGTAATCCCAGCACTTTGGGAGGCCGAGGCGGGCGGATCACCTGAGGTCGGGAGTTCGAGACTAGCTTGACCAACATGGAGAAACCCTGTCTCTACTAAAAATGCAAAACTAGCTGGGCGTGGTGGCACATGCCTGTAATCCCAGCTATGCAGGAGGCTGAGGCAGGAGAATCGCTTGAACCCAGGA
Source organism: Homo sapiens (assembly GCF_000001405.40). Taxonomy (NCBI): domain Eukaryota; kingdom Metazoa; phylum Chordata; class Mammalia; order Primates; family Hominidae; genus Homo; species Homo sapiens. Next base: position 85,319,248 of record NC_000015.10, read on the forward strand.
GGCAGAGGTTGCGGTGAGCCGAGATCATGCCATTGCACTCCAGCCTAGGCAACAAGAGCGAAACTCAGTCTCAAAAAAAAAAAAAAATCAAATGAAAATGGATTAAAGACTTACATCTAAGACCTGAAGCCATAAAACTACTAAAAGAAAACACTGGGGAAATGTTCCAGGACATTGCTCTGGGCAAATGTTTCCTGAGTAAGACCTTAAAAGCACAGGCAACCAAAGCAAAAGTGGACAACTGGGAACATCTCAAGCTAAAAAGTTTCTGCACAGCAAAAGAAACAATCAACAAAGTGAAGAGACAACTCACAGAGGGGAGAAAATATCTGCAAACTACCCATCTGACAAAGGATTAATAACCACAATATATAAGGAGCTCAAACAACTCTATAGCAAAAAAAGAAAAATCCAATTTAAAAATGGGCAAAAGATCGGAATAGACATCTCTCGAAAGAAGACATACAAACGAGGCTGGGCACCATGGTTCACGCCTGTAATCCCAGCACTTTAGGACGTCAGGGCGGGCAGATCGCTTGAGGTCAGGGGTTCGAGACCAGCCTGGCCAATATGGCAAAATCCCCATCTCTACTAAAAATACAAAAATTACCTGGGCGTGGTGGCATGTGCCTGTAATCCCAGCCACTCAGGAGGCTGAGGCAGGAGAATTGCCTGAACCTGGGAGGTGAAGGTTGCAATGAGTTGAGATCACACCACTGCTCTCCAACCTGGGCAATGGAGCAAGACCCTGTCTCAAAAAAAAAAAAAAAAAAGACATATAAATGACCAACAGTTATATGAAAAAATCCTCAATCTCATTACTCATAAGAGAAATGCATATCAAAACTACAATGAGATATCACCTCACCCCAGTTAAAATAGCTCTTATCCAAAAGACAGGCAGTAATGAATGTTGGCAAGGATGTGGAGAAAGGGAAACCCTCATTCACTGGTGGTGAGAATGCAAATTAGTACAGACAAGGTGGAGAACAGTATGAAGGTTTCACAAAAAATCTAAAAATATAATTACCATACGATCCAGCAATCCCACTGTTGGGTATACACCCAAAGAAAGGAAAGCAATATATCGAAGAGATATCTACACTCTTATGCGCTCTTATCTGCACTTACGTTTATCGCAGCACTATTCACAGCCAAGGTAGAGAATCAACCTAAATGTTCACCAACAAATGAATGGATCAAAAAATGTGATACATATACACAATGGAATATTATTTGGCCATGAAAAAAGAATGAGATACTGTCATCTGCAACAATACGGATGGAACTGGAGGACATTATGTTAGGTGAGATAAGCTAGGCACAAAAAGACAAATATCACATGTTATCACTCATATGGGGGAGCAGAAAAAAAATTGAACTCTTGGAGATAGAGAGTAGAAGGATGGTTACCAGAGGCTGGGAAGGGTAGTGGGGTCAGGGACAAAGATGAGTTGGTCAATGGGTAAAAAATACAGTTAGGTAAAAAAAATGAGATCTAGTGTTTGACATCACAATAGGGAAACAATAGCTAACAATAATTATTTCATATTTCAAAATCAATGAAAGAGTAGAATTGGAATGTTCCTAACACAAAGAAATGATAAATGTTTGAAGTGATGGATATCCCAGTTACCCTGATTTGATCATTACACATTATATGCTTGTATCAAAATATCACATGTATCCCCGTAAATACATACAGCTATTATGTATCCATAAAAATTAAAAATAATTTTTAAAAACTGTATTACAATATAGATAATAGACAAAAATGTATTAAATGTATATGTACACTTTCATTTGAGACAGGGTCTCAGTTGCCCAGGCTGCAGTGCAGTGATGCAATCTTGGCTCACTTGCAGCCTCAACTTTCTGTGCTCAAGCGACCCTCCCACCTCAGCCTCCCAAGTAGCTGGGACTACAGGCACATGCCACCACACCCAGCTAATTTTTGCATTTTTTGTAGAAATGGGATTTTTCCATGTTGCTCAGGCTGGTCTCAAACACCTGAACTCAAGCGATCTGCCGGCTCCGGCCTCCCAAAGTGTTGGGATTACAGGCGTGAGCCACCAGGCCCAACCTACACTTTCAAAATAGTACGAATTACACAACAATGTACCCATCACCTAGGCTGAGAAATATTAATACATTATAAGTCATTTTAAAGTCTACTCCCTGCCCTTCCCTAATTACACCCTGTTCTCCCTCACTCCCCAGAGAATTAACCACTGTTCTGACTTTAATGTTAAGCATTCCTTTGCATTTTATTAAGTTGTAGCACAAATGTATGTATCCCTAAAAAATAATTGTTTCATTTTGAAAAACTCAGTAGTCAGCACAACCCTAGCCCTGTAAAGAACAGATAATATCGGCTGGGTGCGGTGGCTCACGGCTGTAATCCCAGCACTTTGGGAGGCTGAGGCGGGCGGACGACGAAGTCAGGAGATGGAGACCATCCTGGCCAACACGGTGAAACCCCATCTCTACCAAAAATGCAAAAAACGTTAGCCAGGCGCGGTGGCGGGCGCCTGTAGTCCCAGCTACTCGGGAGGCTGAGGCAGGACAATGGCGTGAACCCGGGAGGCGGAGCTTGCAGTGAGCCGAGATCGCACCACTGCACTCCAGCCTGGGACACAGAGCGAGACTCTGTCTCAAAAACAAAACAAAACAAAAAAAACAGATAATATCACCACTTTTAGATGAAGGCTTCCAAGAAAAGAAAAGCTGAAGAAGTCTCCAGGTCACGCTCTGTCTCCAGCTGCCCTGAATGTTTATGAGAGCCCCTTCCGGTGAAGTCGTAGGGCCAGGCATACCAGTGAGTCCTCAGTAACAGGGCTTGCCACAATTGGGCCATCAGACAGGACTGTCCTGTGGGTCAGGCAAAGGATGTCTAGCATTCTGAATGGATGGACTGTACTCTGAATTGAGTATTTTCTGCTTCTAAACCTGCCGTGACCTGACCCCAGTACTTGCCAACTAGCCTTCAGGAGTCAGTGAAAACAGAAAAATTCTGTGGGGTGAAATAAATGACCTTAGAAGGTCTAAGCAGCAGTGATGTAGGAATTTCATCAATATGTGGTCAAGACAAGATTAGAAGCTAATATGAAACCCAGGCATGCTTTCCTAAATTGAAAAAAAAGTAAATGTCAGCAGGGGAATTGTGGATGACAGCACTCAATCTGTCTCTCTAGTCTACTCTTCTAATCTGCACCACTGGCACAGCCCTCATTCTGGGATCTTCTCATCCTCCAGGGGACTCTCTTCTAACTGGATCTCCTAATTCCTCTTAAGAAAGGTTGCCTAAGACCCAGTTTTACAGATTTTACACACCTGAAAAAGTAGTTTTTCACCTCTCAAATTGAAGTGATAGTTTACATATAGAATTCTAGAATGGAAATAATTTTCCTTCTGAATTTGGAAGGCACTGCTCTATTATTTTCTTATCTTCAAGGTTGTGATTAAAAAGTTCAAAGCCACTTTTGTTACCAATCCTTTGTATGATAAATACAAAAAAAGATAAAGTTTTTTCCTTTCAAAGATTGTAGAAACTTATTTGTTCCCAGTGTTCTGAAACTTCACAACAGGTGCATTGTTGTAAATCTCTCTTTACTCATTTTGTTGTAAATTCAACAGATCCTTCCAATCTGACAACTCATGTCTTTTAATGCAGAGAAATTTTCTTGAACTATTTCTTTGATGATTTCCTCCCCTTTGTGTTCTCTGTTCTTTTACTCTGGAAACTCACATTATTCAGATATTAGATCTCCTGATCCTTTAACTTTCTTACATTTTTAGCTTAGTTTCTATTTCTATATATTTTATTCTACTTTCTAGCTGATTTCCTTTTGTTCTACTGAGTTTCTAATTTCTAGTATCATGTTTTTAATTTCCAGAAGCACATTTTTGTCCTCCAAATATTTCTTTTTATAGATAGCATCTTGGTTTTTTTTCCATAGATGGAGTATCCTTTCCTTTCCTTCTGAGGGTTTTAATAATAGGTTATTTTCTATTACTTTCTTTTCTTCCTGTCTTGCCTGTGTATTCTTTAAGCTGTTGTGGGTTTTTTGCTTGTTTCATCCCAACCTATCATGTTAGAGACTTTCTCAGATAACTAGCACTTCTTGGCCATCTACTTATACTACCCAGTAGAGAAGAAAACCTGATTTGAAACTCTGAGCATATGATGAGCTTTGTTGACTTTGAACTTCATTATAGGATTGTATAGATGGTACCTGTTGGGGTAAAACACTGATGTCAGTATATGTAGGCATTTTTTTCTTGATCTGGTCAATTTCTTAAAGAAAAGCCTTCTATCCTCCTGCCTAGAGGTAATGTCCTTGGTACCAATGTTCTGGTTGGAGGAACAAGACAATGAGTCCCTTCATTTTGGGTTTTTTTTTTTTTTTTTGACAGAGTCTCCCTCTGTCACCCAGAATGGAGTGCAGTGGTGCAATCTCAGCTCAATGCAACCTCCACCTCCCAGGCTTAAACGATTTTCATGTCTCAGCCTCCCAAGTAGCTGGGATTATAGGTATGTCCCACCACACCCAACTAATTTTTGTATTTTTAGTAGAGACAGAGTTTTGCCATGTTGGCCAGGCTGGTTTCCAACTCCTGGCCTCAAGTGATCTGCCCTCCCAAAGTGCTGGGATTACAGGCGTGAGCCACCATGCCTGGCCTTCATTCTGAATTGAGTGTGCATATAGCCATTCAATCCCTGTTTTTGGCATGGCATTCACTGGTATTGTGCTCACATCCACAAATAAGTCTCGAGCATCCCATCCAGAGGCTTCTCTGTTTGATCCCTTCAGAGACTAAATCTTCAGACCTCGGGACGGGTAAGCACAGTCATGAGTGACAGGACAAACATAACTTTACTGTTTCACTAGGTTCACTTTTGTATGGCTTTGCCGTTTACAGTTTTTCAAGGTCAGATTCTTCAACTGTATTTCTACTGCCCTAATTTATTCCCACTAACTGTTGAAAAGTTCCATACAAATGCCCTCTGCAGAAACTCCCCTAAAAGTACCTGTGAGAAATATACATGAACACCTTCTCCAGCTATGAAAAGTCATTGGCTGTAAGCAGGAAAAAGGGTTAAATGTTGGCTGGAAAAAATCTCTCTCATTATGCAAGTCCATTCCATCTGTGGTTACTTCCTGTTCATTCTGCTATCAAAAGAGCCCCCTGTGGTCGAAAAAGCTCCACTTGATGGCTTTCTAGGTTTTTTTCCTAGATAAATATTCCATGTCCGTATAGACTGGTTAAGATGTTAACATACATCATCTTATTTCTTCCTTACAACAATAGCCCTGGGAATTAGGAAGGTTGAGTATCATTAATATTATTATTACTCCTTTACAGATGTGAAAACTTAGGCTGAAAGAGGTTACATAACTTGTCAAAGATCAGATTATGTCAGGCACGGTGGCTCACGCCTGTAATCCCAGCACTTTGGGAGGCCGAGGCAGGTGGATCACCTGAGGTCAGGAGTTTGAGACCAGCCTAGCCAACGTGGTGAAACCCCATCTCTATTAAAAATACAAAAGTTAGCTGGGCATGGTGGCATACACCTGTATTCCCAGCTACTCTGGAGGCTGAGGCAGGAGAATCGCTTGAACCCAGGAGGTGGAGGTTGGAGTGAGCCAAGATCACACCACTGCACTCCAGCTTGGGCAACAGAACGAGACTCCATCTCAAAAAAAAAAAAAAAAATTAGATTATGTGCAAGAAATAAGGCCAGGGTTACTCAGATCCTCTGCCTCTCATGCACACACTACCTACTAAACCACACTGCTTCACACAAATTAGCAGTCTTCATTTACATTTTCACAGACCAATTTTGTTATTGTTGTTGTTAGAGACAACATCTTGCTCTGTCACCCAGGCTGGAGTGCAGCAGTGTGATCATAGCTCACTGCAGCCTAAAACTCCTGGGCTCAAGCCGTCCTCCTGCCTCAGCCTCCCGACTAGCTGGGACTACAGGTCCCTCCCGACTAGCTGGGACCACGCCTGGCTCAGGCCAATTTTAAAGAGGAGAAAACTTACAGATCTGGAACAAAAGCTGAGATCTCTTCTCACCATTTGTGCATTTCCTCTTAGAAAAAAAAAAATATATATATGGGCCGGGCGCGGTGGCTCACGCCTGTAATCTCAGCACTTTGGGAGGCCAAGGCGGGCGGGTCACCAGGTCAGGAGATCGAGACCATCCTGGCTAACATGGTGAAACCCCATCTCTACTAAAAATACAAAAAGAAATTAGCCGGGCGTGGTGGAGGGCACCTGTAGTCCCAGCTACCTGAGAGGCTGAGGCAGGAGAATGGCGTGAACCCGGGAGGCGGAGCTTGCAGTGAGCTGAGATCGCGCCACTGCACTCCAGCCTGGGCGACAGACCGAGACTCCGTCTCAAAAAAAAAAAAAAAGATATGAGTGGTTCATTTCAAAAGTCTAGAGCTCTTGCCCTTGAATTACAGCATTGAAGTCACCTTATGATGTGGTGGCTAAGGTGCTAGGAGGCTCAGTGAGAACTTACCCTAGAGACAATGGACGTGGCTTCATGGCCAAACAGGTGCCCAAACTCTGTGTTTCCATTTTCTTCCATGCCTCAGTCAGCCCAGGTTTGCCCTAATGTCTTATTCTTCGTTTTCAGCTGAGCGTAGTCAGTAGTGAAAACAAGTCACAGCTTTTGAGTTTTACTTAGTTACAAAGACTATTTACTAGTATTGAGGAAAGATACTCATTTTGTGGAGCTTCCAAATCCCTGCTCCTTGAGTTTGACTATCTGGATTACATTAAAGATATAATGGATGCATAGAGACATCAAATGGACAGAGCATGTCACAAAAGTTATGTATAAATTATATTTTTGGAACTTGGAATATATTTCACCATAGGGAAATTGTATTGTGCTTTTTAAAAGGCATGACTAAATGATGAAATAAATGGATAATAAAGTTCCCAAGCCAGCACACAAAAGCCTGTTAAGTGTGTTTTTAACCCATAATATACCTAAAGTATAAAGCCAAGTTAGTATTTCAGATACATTTGGTTCTGGGCACCAAATATGGTTTTCATAGGAAGACACATTTTTCCAAGTGGAAACACTTCTAGTGCCTAAACAACATAAGGGCAAGAGAACTAACATTTAGCTTCTGCAAAGCATTAAGGACACTGAGTCACAAAATGGTTAATAACATTTTAGGGTGTATTAATGCTATGCTCAAAGACATGTAGGCAGAGCCAGAATTTAAGCCAAGGTTTATCTCAGCCTGTGCTGTTTCTACTAAGCTTAGTTATCTCTGTAGGTTTATATTCCAAATATTCTGAACTGAGGACAACTTGTCTCCCCAACCCCTACTCCACTTCCTTTGGTACAGTAAGAGGTGAGATGAAGGATGGTACTCCAGAACAGCCAATCTCAAACCTGACCAGGCATCAGAATCACCTGGCAGGCTTGTTAACCAAGATTGCTGGGCCCCATTCCTTGTGTTTCTAATTCAGTAGGTCTGAGTGGGGCCTGAAAATTTGCATTTCTGACAAGCTTCCAAGTGATTCTAATGCTGCTTGTCCAGGGACCATGCTCTCAGAATTCATTAGGGCTTCCCTAATAAGTCTTCTCAACAAATAGCCAATCCTTGAAACGATCAATGATTTTCATAGCTGGTAACAAGGAATGATGAAATTCACTGAATCTTCAAGCACTATAATTATGATTAGTACCTGAAGGGAGCGAGCAGGGCATGGAGAGACAATATAGAAAGGAAACAAATTGTTCTCAGCAAGATTGCACTCCATGCATAGATTTCATTTTCTGCAAAGAAGAAAAGAAGCAAACAATACAGAAATCAGCAGGGAACATTGGGCTTTGAAGATAAAAGCAATAATCAGGCATTGTGGCAACAGCATGATAACTATAAAACAATTGAGTTTACCCCCTTTTTTTCCCAATGCCCAGAGGGAAGCTTAATCAACCAACACATATTTATTGAGTTCTTACAGTGTGGTCAAACAGGAGTGGGTAAAAGTATGGGAAATAGCACTTGACCTCAACAAGTTACAGTGATGCCTCATTGATCAGTTTCTTGGGGGAAGGAAGCATGCCACAAAGTGAAATTCCCAAATAAGTAAAGCTAACTCCTTAAAGTACTCAAATGTTATTTGAAGTATATTTTTTATTTTAAAAAAGTCTTCTGGCCGGGTGCAGTGGCTCACGCCTGTAATCCCAGCACTTTGGGAGGCCGAGACGGGCAGATCACCTGAGGTCAGGAGTTTGGGACCAGCCTGACCCACATGGTGAAACCCCATCTCTACTAAAAATACAAAAATTAGCTGGGTGTGGTGGCACATGCCTGTAATCCCAGCTACTCGGGAGGCTGAGACAAGAGAATCTCTTAAACCTGGGAGGCGGAGGTTGCAGTGAGCCAAGAATGCGCCATTGCACTCCAGCCTGGGCAAGAAAAGTGAATCTCTATCTAAAAAAAAAAAAAAAAAAAAAAGTCTTTCTGAAATCCATACCATCCTACCATTTTAAACAGAACACAAAAACATGGTTTAAGTTTTTCTTGATGATTCTAGGCCAGCACTACAGATATCTCCCTTTAGAATATTAAGTAATGACCATAGGCTATTGAGGAAGTATGTTGCTGTTTACCTACATTTAAAGAGCTTAAGTCTGGACTTAGTATTTGAATTTTCTCCATCGATTGCCATCTTATCTCTGCCTTTATTGGTCCACCTTCTAATAGCTCCACTTCACTTCCTATTTGCTGTTTTTTCTCTGCTATGGATTAAAAGCATCTGATAAGAACCAAGCCTATGAGCGAGGGCCTGAGTATTTTACCTACAAATCGATTGAGTTTTAGGAGCTGGCCTTTGTCATTTCATTCCTGACAAGTTCTCATGTGATGCTGATGCTGATCAAGGAGCCACACTGTGAGAACTTATTAGAGCTTCCCTAATAAGTCATCTCTACAAATGCAAATATTTCTTCCCTTAGTGCAGGAAGCCAGTTTGAAGGCTTCTAAATATACCTTCGCTTTGAGAGGATGTTTGACCTAAAGGAAAGGATGCTTCCTTTCTCCTGAACAAACCCCTTTAGGGCCCTATTTTCATCTTTGGAAATTTTCTAAGTATTCAGTACAGTATCATATTCCCTGCCCCCAGATTTATGTCACCTACTTATTGGATGGATAAATAAATAAGGGTTGTATAAATGCACATAAATGATTGAGCACTCCCCATAAGCTGGATACTAAGTAGATGTTTTCATCTGTCATCTCCTCTAATCCTCACACACACCTTATGAGCTGGGAATGAATAGCTCATAGTCCAAGCTCAGGAGGGGAGAGTCAATGACCCACTCATTCAAGGTCATAGTAAGTGGCATAGCTGAGATTCCAGCTCAGATCTTCAGACCCCGAGGCCAACGTGCTTTCCATTAGACCACAGTTACCGCCTTATTAAGAGCAAACCAAATGTTGGGGTGCAAGGAAAGATAGCAATTCAGTTTTTAAAAAGACAAATCCACAGCAAGCATAATGGCACCTCCACCCTACACCCAAACCCATGGTAGACGATGTTCTTTCCTGCTGCATATGAACAATCTCAGATCTTTTTCTCTAGAAGCCGGAAAGAATTAGAAGAAGCACAGAATATAAACCCACATGACTTAGCTTCACTTATCTGGAAATTTCACTTGGTGGTGTCTCACTGAGAAACAGTTCACTAAGGGCCAGGTGTGGTGGCTCATGCCCGTAATCCTAACCCTTTGGGAGGCTGAGGCGGATGGATCACCTGAGGTCAGGAGTTCCAGACCAGCCTGGACAACATGGTGAAACCCCGTCTCTACTAAAAATACAAAAATTAGGTGGGCACGGTGGCAGGTGTCTATAATCCCAGCTACTCAGGAGGCTGAGGGAGGAGAATTGCTTGAACCCAGGAGGCAGAGTTTGCAGTGAGCCGAGATCGCGCCACTGGACTCCAGCCTGGTAGAGGGAGACTCTGTCTCAAAATACGTATATATATATATATTTTTTTCTAGCATGAGAATGATGAAACTCTTCTTAAAACATTTTATTTTCTTTTTCCAAATAGTTGTTTCTAACTATAAAAGTAAAACATGTTTATTACAGAAACGTTTGGAAATTACCACAAGTATGAAGAAAAAACTTTCTTTCCCTATGGGGAAGGTAGACATTCTGTAGAACTGACAGATTCTACCTTATCTATCCTACACCAGTAATTCTCAACCAGGGGGCAATTTTGCCCCTCAAGTTGACATCTGGCAATGTCTGGAGGTATTTTGGGTTGTCATAGCTTGGGAGTGCTGCTGGCATCTTGTGGGTAGAGTCCAGGGATGCTGCCAAACAGCCTGCAGTGCACAGGACACTCGGCCTCCTGGTCAGCAAACTGTTAGGCAGCCCAAGATGTCAGCGGCACCACGGTTGAGAAACTGTTTTAGATTACAGCACACGTAAAGGAAGGATTTCTGGTTCCTTGCAGATGTTTGCTGCCTCTCTATCACATTAGTAAAATTAAGTTGAGGGAACTGAAACTGCTGGCTTTGGGTCTGTTTCTGGGTGCGCACACACGAGCTGCAGAAGTCTCACTGGTTTCAGTTATCTCTGGCTGCAGAACTTTTTTGTTTTCTTCCAGCCCAGACGACCTGAAGAAGCATAGATGCTACCCATAGATGAACGTGGCCTTTGGCTCTGCTCACACAGTTTCTCTTTAATCAAAGAAAGACCACAGTAAAGGATATTTACAAGGAAAGGGAAAGTGAAAGGGCGCGGAGAGAAGAGCAGAATCACCAAGGAAAACTCCTCCTACCATGGTCTCTGCAGCCAGCCTCCTTCTCACTGATGTCGGTGTTCTCACGATCCTTTTGCTCCTATTATTTAGTGACCTCGCCACTCTAAGTGTGGTGTCCAGTGCAGCAGAATTAGCACCACCTGGCATCTCCTTAGAAGTGCACAATCTCAGCCCTCCCCAGACCCTCGACTCAAAACTCTGCATTTTAACAAGATGCCCACGTGATTCATCGTATGCACGTTAACATTTGAGAAGCACTGCTCTGAGGTTTCCAAAAGGCAAAATAAAACTGCAGAGTGAACAGCTGCAAAACAGATGCAAAGTTAATCACGTGGGATCACATACGACTCCTCCAGGGGATTTATGACTCTCTGTGGATGGTAGCTGGTAATACAGAAAACAGAAATTTGAAGGAATATGTGGAAAAAAGTAAATGCTGTGCTGCAGCCCTTTGAGTGCCCTAAAGGGATTCACCTTGAGTTAGAGGAAATGCCGTGCCTAACCCCTGAAATAGTTTCATGTACCCTATGAGAGCTCAAGTGTTTGGTGCTTTTGTTTGGGGGGTTTGTTTGTTTTCATTAGGGAACAGAGAATTTATACTGGTGTTCCATGAAAGAAGAGAGATCTATTTGATTAGTATTTCCAACATAGCATTCCACAATACCAAAATTTGTAAGAGGAGTTGATATACGTTTTTAAATAACCTAGAAAATAAGTTAAGGCGAATGGGTCCGGTTCAACTTCAGGTCTGCTTTCAACCTACTCAAATTGGATTGATGTTGTTCATTCAACAAATATCAAGTCTCAGGATCTGTGCAAAGAAGAACTTCAAGGAAAGCAGCCACTAACAGCTGCAAACCCCTGCCATCGCTGCAGACAGCCCATGACAATCGAGGTGGGGAACAGATCTGCTGGGGAGGAGGGTAGGGCCGAGGGCGCAGCTACAGGAAGGAGCAAGGGGGAGTTCTGCACGCCCTTGTGGGTTAGGAAGCTGAGCTCACTGCAGAAATCAGCCTGGTCCTGAACCCTGGACCTGAGCTGCGTGGGGTACAGGTTCAGTCTGACTCATGCACTGGCCTGCGGAACAGACCACAACTCTGCCTGGTGAAGGTTTTCAAAGAACCATGTCAGCAAGTCCTGCTGCCTCCTCAGGCTCCGGAGCTGTGGCCCAGTTTAAGGTGAACAAGTCCCACAAGTCCCACAGGTCTGACTCCCATGACCATGTCCGGAAGCAGCCGCTAGAGGCTGCACTTGGTCCCTTCAAGGAAGAAACGAAAGGGCCTGAGCAAATTTGCAGCTGGCTTTGTTCTGCCTGGAACACTCTGTTCTTTCCTCACATCCTCCCGCCCCGCTGAGGGCTCTCTACACAGGCCTGCAGGAGATCACATGCCAGCCTGGAAGTTAGAGCACCCCGGGGCCTCTAAGTTACCAAGGGAGAGCTGGATGTGCCAAGTGGCCTCCTAAGGGACACTGCCTGGGGGCAGAAGGTTTTGGTTCTCTGATGAGAGGCAACTGTCCTCTGACTTCACTAGGATTCTGAAGCCCAGAGAACCGATTCAGAGAGAGGGCAATCGAGCGAGATGGAGACAGAATGGACCCAAATACTGTCCAAATGTTCAGTGTTCAGTGAGCCGGCTTCTGTCACAGTGAGGTACCTGAGGCGGGGACTGCTCCCCGGGAGGGTGAGTGGGAGTTGACTCTGCAGGGGGAGCTGAGTGGGGAGAAATCAATCAAGCAGAAAAGTGAAGCAGAAGTTTCTAGAGGCTTGCCCCACCTACCAGAGGAGTGTTCAGAGGTGCTTGAACTCTTAAGGTCACTGGACATTTTTAACTGGGGTGAGGACTCGGACAGATTCACAACAAGGCAAGCAGCAGAAAGTGGCTCCTGAAGTGCTTCTTGAGAAATGTGAGCCAACACATGACAATCACACACAACACCTGAGAGATGCTGGCATTGCTATAGGGAAGGGGTATGACCCACCCTTTGGGAGCACCCATTCCCCCTACCCCGCCCCGCTCTGTGTTTAGTGCTTTCTACGTTCCATTGTTAGTGATGTTCAGTGACCTCACAGCCCGGTGGGGCAAATATAAATATCCCCATTTCTCTAATGTGGAAAGTAGGACTGGAAGAGGTTAAGTAACTTGCCAGGGTCAGCTGGTAACAATGACAGAGCTATGATGCTTGTTTGTTTGATTTGGCTTGTAATCAGGTAATATAGTCATATGATTCAAAAATCAAAACCGTAGAAAGGGGGCCAGGCGCGGGGGCTCATGCCTGTAATCCCAGCACTTTGGCAGGCCAAGGTGGGCAGATCACCTGAGGTCAGGAGTTTGAGACCAGCGTGACCGACATGGTGAAACCCCATCTCCATTAAAAATACAAAAATCAGCCCGGCGTGGTGGCATGTGCCTATAATCCCAGCTACTGGGGAGGCTGAGGTAGGAGAATCTTTTGAGCCCAGGAGGTAGAGGTTGCAGTGAACCAAGATCATGCCACTGCATTCCAGCCTGGGTGACAGAGCATGACTCTGGCTCAAAAAAAAAAAAAAATCAAAACTGTAGAAAGGTATACAATACAAAGTCTCCTGTCTGCTGACCCCCGGATTGTCAGTTTCCCCCATCTGTCTCCTTGCCACAAACACAGGTAACCACCATTTGTTCCTTGTATACTTTTAGGATTTCTTTTTTGTTTGTTTGTTTGAGACAGAGTCTCTCTCTGTCGCCCAGGCTGGAGAGTAGTGGCACTATCTCAGCTCACTGCAAGCTCCACCTCCTGGGTTCACGCCATTCTTCTGCCTCAGCCTCCCAAGTAGCTGGGACTACAGGCACGTGCCACCACGCCTGGCTAATTTTTTGTACTTTTAGTAGAGACGGGGTTTCACCGTGTTAGCCAGGATGGTCTCGATCTCCCGACGTCGTGATCCGCCCGCCTCGGCCTCCCAAAGTGCTGGGATTACAGGCATGAGCCACCGCGCCCGGCCACTTTTAGCATTTCTTTATGCATATTCCAGTTAATAGAGTACAAAGTCTTATTTTTCTCCATTTTTACACAAAACATGGCATACCGTGCATACCGTTCCATGCCTTGCTTTTTTTTCTTTCAGCACATAAAGAGCTTGAGATCAACAAAATATCTTGAGATCTTTTCATTACCAGCACATAAAGAGCTTCCTCATTCTTTTCATTTTGCAGCTGCACAATATTCCATTGCATGGACATACCGTAATTTAATGGAGCAGTCTTCTGTTGGTGGACATAGGGTTGTTTCCCGTCTTTTGCTACTATAAACAATGTTGCAGTGAATAACCTTGTACCAGCATCATCATGCACATGCCAGAGCCAGGAGCCCACATCTATCTGGATCTAAATCGTCTAGGTTCTCTCTACCCCAAAGCTGACACAGGACTGATCATATGCCAGCTTTGGTAGATAAATGCTCATATCTCTCTTCCCACTCCCACCCTCTATCTTCCTATTTTCTTTTCCTGTCTGTTCATATTTGAAACAACTACAAAGACTCCAGACGGAGAGTTCTTGCCATTTTATCTCTTTCTGTGGTTGCTTTGCTTCATTCTTTAAATACCGAGTCTGACTGTAACTGGGCTGTACCAGAGACAAAATCTACAGATGTTCTTCTGCATAAACATGGAATTTCAGCTACCAATGGGATCACAGTGTCTCATCCATGTGCCAGGGAAGTGCAAATCCTGCATACTGTAGCCCACAACAGGCTTGGATCCCAGCTTAGAACTGGAAAAAGACCTGCTAGAGGCAGCCTGCTGCTACGGAAGCCAGCATTTGTCTCCGTTTCTGGCTGTTGACCTAAAGGGACATTAAATGAATAGTGACAACATTAGGCAGGTCCAAGAAAGTCTATCTCTGGGAAAGAGAAAATCCATCACCCAAACTTTCATCCTTGTCATCTGTGGTCATTTTGTCATTATCTATCTATCTATCTATCTATCTATCTATCTATCTATCTATCTATCTATATTTTTTGAGTCAGAATCTTGCTCTATTGCCCAGGCTGGAGTGCAGTGGCACAATCTCTTCTCACTGCAAACTCCACCTCCCGGGTTCTAGCAATTCTCCTGCCTCAGCCTCCCTAGTAGCTGGGAGTACAGGCACCCCCCACGCCCAGTTAATTTTTGTAGTTTTTTTAGTAGAGACGGGGTTTCACCATATTGGCCAGGCTGGTCTCGAACTCCTGACCTTGTGATCTGCCCGCCTTGGCGTCCCAAAGTGCTGGGATTACAAGTGTCAGCCACCGCACCTGGCTTATCTATATTTATACCTAGATTTTCAGACTCACCTTTTTGGCTTTTTATCCCTCAAAATAAGATTTGGCAATTAGAGAACTCTAAAATAAATAAATAAATAAATAAATAAATAAATAAATAAAACTGGACGTAGGTTGTTTTTAGTCATGTGATTCTGACTATCGCCTGCATGGTGGACTGAGAGATGGGTTCACTCTGTTTTGGAGACATTTCCACTGGACTGCTCTTTCTTGAGCACTTACTGCATACCAGTTGCTCTGTTGATGAAGGATATAAGGCCCAGGTGCTCCTCTCCAAAAGCAGATTCAGACACTTACCAAATATTTTCAAGGCAGAAAGAGACATCACTTCAAAGTAATATGGGCTATGATATAGGTAGAGAAGCATGCCCGGGATCTCCTTGAGAGGGGGTACTTAGCCTAGACTGGGGAGAGAGAGGAGGAGAAGCAAGCAGTTCAGGGAGGCTTAAGATGCTTGAGGCCGGGCACGGTGGCTCATGCCTGTAATCTCTAGCACTTTGGGAGGCCAAGGCAGGTGGGTCACAAGGTCAGGGGTTCGAGATCAGCCTGATCAACATGGTGAAACCCCCTCTCTACTAAAAATACAAAAATAAGCCAGGTGCGGGGCCGGGCGTGGTGGCTCACACCTGTAATCCCAGCATTTTGGGAGGCCGAGCTGGGCAGATCACGAGGTCAGGAGATCGAGACCATCCTGGCTAACACGGTGAAACCCTGCCTCTACTAAAAATACAAAAAATTAGCCAGGCATGGTGGCGGGCACCTGTAGTGCCAGCTACTCGGGAGGCTGAGGAAGGAGAATGGCATGAACCAGGGAGGTGGAGCTTGCAGTGAGTCAAGATTGAGCCACTGCACTCCAGCCTGGGCGACAGACTGAGACTTCATCTCAAAAAAAAAAAAAGTGGGGTGTGGTGGCGCATGCCTGTAATCCCAGCTACTCAGGAGGCTGAGGCGGGAGAATTGCTTGAACCTGGGAGGCAGAGGTTGCAGTGAGCCGAGATTGTGCCACTGGAAAAAAAAAAAGATTCTTGAGTAAGCCCTGAGGAGCCAGCAGGAGGTGCTCAGGCAGGAAAGGTAAACAGCATGGCCAAGAGCAAGGGCCAGAGCAAGGAAATAGTCGCCAAAATGTAACTTATTTTTCTAAACACCGGAAAAATGAAATAGCAAACTAGTAGCCCACATGAAGCAAATTTCAAGGGGGAAAATGGAGATAAAAATTCCTTAAATATCAGCCGTTCCTCTGATCTTTTAGACAGGTCGTCAGTAAGAAGCTCACCCTGATCCTCTCCACCAACCTCGGGAATGCTTTAGCAGAGAGGGTTCCAGACGAGCTTCCCACAACGGACTCAGCCCTTCTGTTTCTTATCTCTGACCTTTGACTGTTTTCTGCTAATTACAAGGAAGGCCTGAGCTTGCATTTTTACAACTGCCGCCAGCACTCAGAACTCATACAATCCCTCTGTATTTCCTTCCAGCTGTTGACTATCAAAAGACAAGTCAATAGCCTCCTGGAATCCTGTAGGATGGTCCGTTTTCCCTAGGAATGGGGATACCATGGAAAGACTGCAAAGCCCAAATCACTGTGTAAATGTAACCTGCCAGTGTTGCCATCAGAATAATGATCACTGTCATATCTCCAGGTATTCATTCGTCTGCCAGATGTGGTTGAAAATTAATACATCAGAGATTCTCTTTAAAATGTGGTCTTTGGTTGGGTGTGGTTATACACCTATAATCCTAGCACTTTGGGAGGCAGAGGCAGGAGGATCACTTCAGCCCAAGAGTTCAAGACCAGCCTGGGCAACATAACGAGACCTCATCCCTACAAAACATTTTTAAAAAATTAGCCGGGCATGGCGACATGCTTCTGTAGTCCCAGCTACTCAGAAGGCTGAGGTGGGAGGATCGCTTGAGCCCAGGAGGTCGAGGCTGCAGTGAGCTGCAATTGCACCACTGCACTTCAGCCTGGATGACAGAGCCAAACCCTGTCTCAAAATTTTTTTTAAAAATTTTAAGGTGGTCTTACAGATCATCTTTCAATAATAATAACACCAGTAGCGATACTTAACATTTATTTAAAGCTTACTATGTCCCAGATATTGTCCTAAGCTCCTTAAATGTTTTTTCTATTTTAATCCCAAGACTTCCTTCTTAAAGCCTGACATGTTGCCTAGTCAAGATTCAAGTGTCCTTGGGTTCAAATCCCAGCTCTGACCACCTACTATTTTGGTAATGTCTCTGAACCTCAGTTTCGTTCTCTATGAAGTGGCCATAGTAATACCTTCCCCCTAGAAGTAAAGGAAATCATCTAGATTAAAGCACCTGATACAAACAGGCTCACAGTGAATATTAGTTACTTTCCCCTATACAGCCATTTTTATTAAAAATGCTTCTATTTTCAAATAATTTAAGATGAAAGATGTAATTAAATGTTTTAACAAAGATAGAAATCAATTGTATCACATCATTCCTCCAAATAATAGAAGGAAAATCTATTGAGTGTGTTCATCTTCTGGGGTCTATATTTCTTAAATAAGTCTATGAATATAAGGAAAGAAATATATGAGCACACGCCTTAGGGCCAGTTAAGGAAATATTTCCTAATCTGGACTCTATCCGCTCAGGGCTCCCTGCCCCCACACCCCATGAAATCATCAGAAAAGGAAAGAGATGCCTGGGCCCTGAGATCCTACCCAATTATAGCTCTAGGTGTTAGGGTCATGTGGAAGTGGCAGGTTTTTGAAATGCTGACATGCTGACACTTAAGCTCATGGCTGGATCCTGTTATAGCTCAGAGAAAGTATATAAAGAAGTTGGCACTAGGTGAGATTTCAAAAAATGAAACGATGCCCAGCATGACGTAAGTGGTGAGGCTTGAGGACAGAAAGGCTGGGGTTTGAATCCCAGCTTCACACTTTCTCACGTGTGACCTTGAGCAGGGATGAATAATGTATTGTCACTGTATACTCCATCTCTTTGCTCACCTGCAAAATGGAGGTAAGAGCATCCTCTTCACAGCATTATTGTGCTCAACAAATGTGCATTCTCTTCTCCTTTTGGTCAAAGGCTTGGTCCATTTGAATCTATCGAGACTCCCAGCTCAGCTCGGCTGCAACCCTGAACCCCTAGTCAGTTGCTGGAAATGTACCTCCAGGCACTGTTTTGTGGGCTTTTAAAAAGGGATCTGCACTGGGATGATTTCCAGGCTCTGCAGCATGTGTCTGTCCACGTGGAGGATGTTTCCCTTCTCAGCTCCTGCTCCGGGGATGTTACCTCGGCTGGCATCTAGCTCATGAACCACGGCAGGGCAGTCACACCACTGTGCTCTCTGCTTCCAACATCCTTTTTGTTTCTAAAGGTAATAATGGGCTTTAATCTTTCTGGAAAATGCTGCCGTCTCCAACTGAGACTACCCCAGTCCCTTTAGTGCTCATGCTTAGGACTCTCAGTCTCTATCTATTTCCTACCCCACAGCCTTTGCTTTCTCTTGCATTTCCTGAGGCGTTTCCCTCTCCTTTCAATGACTGTCTGGATTTCTCATTCTCTTTGTGTTGTTTTTCCTTTGCTGCCTCTTGGGGGCCAAGGTTAAAACCCCGCTCCCTCCTTTTTCCATTGCTCATTCTGCTATTTTCATTCCCTTATCCTTTCTCTCAAAGCAACACAAGAAAGAAGTACCTTGAAAACACCTCACAACCACTCAGCTGGTGGCATTAAGGTTAAGAACTACTGAGCAACTGGATCTGCAGCTACCTTTGTGTTTTACACCAACTGGTATGCAAACATCAAACAGAATAATGGAATTATTAGTATTAAAGATTTCAAGCTGGGCACAGTGGCTCACACCTGTAATCTCAGCACTTTGGGAAGGCCAAGGATGGCAGGTCACTTGAAGTCAGGAGTTTGAGACCAGCCTGGCCAACATGGTGAAACCCCATCTCTACTGAAAATACAAAAATTAGCCAGGCATGGTGGTGCAGGCCTGTAGTCCCAGCTACTTGGGAGGCTGAAATGGCACCACTGCACTCTAGCCTGGGTGACAGAGTAAGACTCTGTCAAAAAAAAAAAAAAAAAAAAAAAAAGATTTCAATTGAATCACATCTTGATAACATTTACAAACAATAAACATACTAATACTATTTTATGCCATTGACACTCCAGAATGGTCCACCCTGGTCAACACTTTAAAAATGCCACGTTGCAGTGAGCCAAGATCGTGCCATTGCACTCCAGCCTGGGCAACAAGAGCGAAAACTCCCTCTCAAAAAAAAAAAAAAAAAAAAAGCCATGCCCACCTCTGCAGTGCCTACCGGGAATCATACAGGATGAGCCTTTTTCTTGGTCTTAGGATGAGCCTTTTTCTTGGTCTTAGTTCTTCATCACTGTCTTTTTTTTTTTTTTTTTTTGAGATGGAGTCTGGCTCTGTCGTCCGGGCTGGAGTGCAGTGGCACAATCTCGGCTCACTGCAAGCTCCGCCTTCTGAGTTCACGCCATTCTCCTGCCTCAGCCTCCCGAGTACCTAGGGCTACAGGTGCCAGCCATAATGCCCGGCTAATATTTTGTATTTTTAGTAGAGACAGGGTTTCACCGTGTTAGCCAGGATGGTCTCGATCTCCTGACCTTGTGATCCACCCGCCTCGGCCTCCCAAAGTGCTGGGATTACAGGTGTGAGCCACCACATCCCGCCTAGTTCTTAATCACTGTCTTTGACTCCTTCTTTATGCTTCATTTCATCCAGGCCCAAGATTACATCTACAGGAATAAGGATCCACAGGAAGTAGTATAAGAACAGAAACAAGCTTTATGAAACCTGGGATTCAGAGGCTGGAACAAGAGAGGTTAGGTTCAGTTTATTTTGAATGACCAGAAGCTAACTCTTCCACTTTCACCGTCTAATAAGTCTCTGAGTTAGGAAGCCTTTCACTTTCCTATTCTCAAGGGCAAGAGTGAAGGATTCTAGATTATTACTAGAAAGGTGTTGATGGACTGGGCATGGCTCACGCCTGTAATCCCAGCACTTTGGGAGGCCAAAGCGGGCCGATCACTTGAGCCGAGGAATTCAAGACTGACCTGGGCAACATGGTGAAACCTTGTCTCTACTAAAAATACAAAACTAGCTGGGTGTGGTGGTGCATGCCTATCGTCCCAGCTACAGGAGGATCACCTGACCCCAGGAGGTCAAGGCTACAAAGAGCCATGTTCATGCCACTGCACTGTAGCCTATGCTACAAAGTGAGATCCTGTCTCAAAAAGAAAAGGTATTAATGCATCCAGGACTAGCCTTACCAATAAATGTGTGGTGCGTGGATAGGCCAGCTGGTTTAAAGGAACAAGATCAAGGTGGACATCGCTTGATTTCATATGCGTTGCCTTGAACCACCCTTCAGATTAAATACCTACTGTGACCATGGCTCACACCTAGAATCTTTGTACTCTAACTAGACATATTGCCTGTAGTCCTTCCCCGTATTTCCTGGACCCTAAACCCCACTATTTTCCCACACCCTATCCCATGGATGGTGTTCTCACTCAACTTGCCTCCCAAGTGGGACCCTGACACCAATCACAAAACACACTCACACTCCACCACACACACACACACAGACACACACACACACACACACACACACACACACACACACTTCCCTCTTTCCCCTCTGAATCCCTTGTACTGCATCGACAGCTATTTCATTCACTTTGTACCTAAATACTGCCTTATGACAATCTTCTGTTGTTAAATGAAAATTATTTATGAGCTGTTGTGCTCCTTACCTCATCACAAAGCTGTGTCATGATAACCTTCCCGTCCTCCACAACATCAACATAGCATTCCTTGCACATGGCAAGTAATTGATGGATATTTGTGGCTAGTCACCTCTTCATCTGATGAATGACTCTCTGGCTCCTCTGAGTTTGGCCTGTCATCTTCAGAGAGGGTCTGGCAGTCTCTAAAGAGGTAGCTGACACTTGGAAAAAGAAAGAGATGCAACTAACTAAGGCTTTAGGACTCCTGTCATCTGGGGGAGGTGAGGGCCTGGTGGCAGAGCCTCCACAAGAGTAACTCCCTGTTTATCCACTGTGTACCAGGAGGCTACAGAAACAGGAGAAGAAAACAGGAAAGGACATCATCACATACTGTAACTCCAAAATATTTATTTACTCAGACAGGCCTCCTCTCTTATCCTACAGACCAGAAGGGAAGTTCCTCCTCCCTTTGGAAAACAAGACTCCAGAGTGGGAAGAAACCCATGGCCTTGGCACAAAGCTCTGCAAGACGTAAATGTACTCTGTGTAGAAGGCCTTACACACTGAAGGCTGCCCATAAAGGGTGAATGAATGAATGAATGAGAGACAGAGAATTTGTGTGTGTATGTGTGTGTGCCTCTCTGTGTGTGTGTGTGTGTGTGTGTGACAGAGAGATAGAGATTGAGACTGGCAAGTATTCTCTAAATAGATCATAGGTCATAAACTTCCAGCTTGTAGACAAGTTGGATTTCCCTAGAGAACTATAATAATAATGTTAGAAACTGCAAATATTTGTTCTTTTTATGTGCAAGGCAGTTATAAATGCTATACATGCACTAATTGATTTCACTGGCACAGTTTTTTGATGTTGATTCTTTTATTACCTTCATTTTGTAAATGAGAAAATTTAAACACAGAGAGGTTAAGTGACTTCCCCAAGGCCACACAGCTAGTGAGTGGTGAACCTGGGAATATGGTGGGAGAGATGTGGAAATTAAAGTCAGAGAAATTTGGGTTGGAAGCTTGGCCCTATCATCTATTAACTGTGTGACCTTTTGCAAGTTATTTAAATTCCCTGAATCACATTTGCCTCATTGGAAAAATCAAGTTAATTGTATCTACATCATAGGGTTGTTGTGAAAGTTGGATGAGTCTTGGGACTTTGAGTTTCCTGTAGTTGAAGGACTAGTAATTTAGACCAACTCTCCTGCTGAAAATAACTAAGCATGCTGGATAATTCTCTTTTCATATTTGTAAAAGCATCAAATTGCTGACAGGATGGTAAGAAATTCCAGCCTCAAGTCTAAGAGAAAGCAAGAACCCAGAGAAATAAGTGGAACATCAAAGCCACCTTTCCTGTGAAGGCATTTGTCCATCTGAATTCTCCAAGCTGCAAAACTGAGCTGTGGTTCTGATGGACTCTGGAAGCAAGAACACAGAAGTCAAGGCTAGGGATTACCAGGAATTCCACAGTCACCTCCTCAAGTCCGTGTGAAGCAGAAGTAAACTGGCCCCTCCCACAACACCCCATGGGGTGATGGAAAGTGAGGTCTTGGCACCAATCAGAGTCAGGGAGAAAGAAAAGAAAAAAGGCCAGGCACAGTGGCTCACGCCTGTAATCCCAGCACTATGGGAGGCTGAGGCGGGCGGATCACGAGGTCAGGAGATCGAGACCATCCTGGCGAACACGGTGAAACTCCGTCTCTACTAAAAATACAAAAAATTAGCCAGGCAAGGTGGCGCACGCCTGTAGTTCCAGCTACTCGGGAGGCCGAGGCAGCAGAATGGCGTGAACCCGGGAGGCGGAGCTTGCAGTGAGCAGAGATCGTGCCATTGCACTCCAGCCTGGGCGACAGAGCGAGACTCCGTCTCAAAAAAAAAAAAAAAAAGAAAGAAAAGAAAAAACACTGATCTCTAAGAGGTTATAACCATGGGCTAGCATTTTTTCAGATTTGGAGCCCAAGTCTGCATCTGTAGTGTGGTTCAAAAGCTCAAGCTATGTATTTAAAATAGTACTGCATAGAGAGAATGATGAGAAAGCAGGAGAAGAGGCACAGAGATTGGGAGAGCCACTGAGGTAGACACATTTATATACCATGTTCCAGCCGCACTGAAATAATCTCAATCCTTCACATAAACACCCATGCATACGTTCTCATCTTTGTACTGGTTGTTCCTTCCATTATCAACCATATGATCTCTGGAACCAGATGGCACAATTTCATATCCTGACTCTGGGTGACTTTGGGTAAGCCACTTAATCTCTCTCGTCATTTTCCTCATCTGAAAAATCGGGGACAATTACAATACCTCCTTGTGGTTTGCTGAGAGGATCAAATGAGTTAATGTACACAGAAGGCTTAGTAGATTGTCTGGCACATAGGAGGTAATTATAGAGTGACGGTGGTTGTACTGATGATGATGGTGGTGATGATGACGACTTTCTCAAATGATCATGTACCCTTTATTTATTTGGCAATTTTTATTAATTGTTTACACTTCAGGTAAAATATGACTGCTTCAGGCTGGGTGTGGTGGCTCATGCTTGTAATCCCAGCACTTTGGGAGGCTGAGGAGGGAGGATAACTTGAGGTCAGGAGTTGGAGACCAGCCTGGCCAACATGGTGAAAACTCATCTTTACTAAAAGTACAGAAATTAGCTAGGTGTGGCATGCACCTGTAGTCCCAGCTACTCAGGAGGCTGAGGTGGGAGAATCGCTTGAACCCGTGAGGTGGAAGTTGCAGTGAGCCATAATTGCACCACTGCACTCCAGCCTGGGCAACACAGTGAGACCCTGTCTCAAAAAAAAATTACCTCTTCTGTTAAGCCTTCTCTGCCTCTATGTGCTACAAAACTTTGTGTCTTTCCTGGGGCCCTTATTACACTCCATTGCAATGACGTATTGACATCTCTACCTACCCCTGAGAACTGTTAAGTTACCTAGTCGGGACTAAGTGGTTCTTAGTTGCTAGTACAGAGCTTGACACATAACAGATGCTTAGCAAATACTTGGCGAATTAAAGAATGTATTGGCCGGGCACGGTGGCTCACGCTTGTAATCCCAGCACTTTGGGAGGCAGAGGCGGGCGGATCACGAGGTCAGGAGATCGAGACCCTCCTGGCTAACATGGTGAAACCCCGTCTCTACTAAAAATACAAAAAATTAGCTGGGCGTGGTGGCGGGCGCCTGTAGTCCCAGTTACTCGGGAGCCTGAGGCAGGAGAATGGTGTGAACCCGGGAGGCGGAGCTTGCAGTGAGCCGAGATTGTGCCACTGCACTCCAGCCCGGGTGACAAAGCACGACTCTGTCTCAAAAAAAAAAAAAAAAGTATTGATGATTTTAACTTGCGTTAGTGAACTAATTTTTCCATAGGAAGTTTTTTTTTTTAGTCTCTTAACCCTTATTCTGCACTGACTTTAAACCAAAATCATAAAACGCTGTTCTCCCATCTGAATTGTTTCTCTGGAATGTAAACTTCTCAAGAGCAGCTCCAATATCTTATCTGATTAATTTTGTTGCGCATGAGCCATACTGTGTCAGGAAAATGACTAAACGGCTATAAAAATGATATTGTCAAGAAAACTGGGCTGATGAATCACGAGATCATTGACCAAGAAGTATTCACAGAGTTCTTCCTGCTTATATGGGGATGTAGATTTGAATGGACTTCCTGGTTCTGTTGTATTGATGGTAAAAGCACTGAATTCAGGGTCAGAAGACTTGAGTTAAGGTCCCAGACTCACTCTTTATCTGTTGTGTGACTTTGGGCAAAAATTAGTCTTCCTAAACTTCACTTTCCTCATTGGAAAATAGGTTTAATAATACCTATCATTACAATGAGCCATGATTGCACTGCTGCACTCCAGCCTGGGTGACAGAGTGAGACCCTGTCTCTCCAAAAAGAAAAAAAAAAAAAGGCTGGGTGCAGTAACTCACGCCTGTAATCCCAGCACTTTGGGAGGCCAAGGCAGGCAGATCACCTGAGGTCAGGAGTTCAAGACCAGCCTGAGCAACATGGTGAAACCCCATCTCTACTAAAAATTACAAAAATGAGCTGGGCGTGGTGGCTGGTGCCTGTAGTCCCAGCTACTCAGGAGGCTGAGGCAGGAGAATAGCTTGAACCTAGGAGGTGGAGGTTGCAGTGAGCTGAGATCATGCCACTATACTCCAGCCTGGGCAACAGAGCAAGACTTCATCTCAAAAATAATAATAATTAATTAATTAATTTAAAAATAATACTACCTACTACATAGAGTTGTGGTGAGGCCAATACGTTGGTGCAAAGCATGCAAAAGGGCTTCATCAATGGCCAAGGGCTTTACAAATGTAGCAATGGCAATTATACTTGCTTGTGCTAGTAAGTGCCCAGTTATATTCTTGGTGGCCAGTTCTCATCACTCAATGGGTGGCTTTTCTCAGAAGAGACTTTCTATCCACTTTATGTTTACCACCAAATAAGGTACTTTGCCTGGGAACAAACAGTCCTGGAATTTTAGAGACATCTCTGTTTTGAGAGTTTGGCAAGTGACTAAGCTTGGTTCCAGAGAAAATAGCCCTGGAGGGACCTGCCTGGGGAGCAGGTAGGAGAGCTCATGCCTTTCCCATGACTCAACTTGCTCTGACACATTCATCCACAGTAACATGTGGAGAGAGGGTGTGAGCTGCCTCTGCTGGGTGCCTGAGAACCGAGGAGAGTCTCTCTGGAATGACAGACACTTGAAAACCAGCTCTGAAATCCAATAGAATAACCTCGCCAAAGAGTAAGAGCAATTCCTCCCAACCAGGAGCCCTGTGTTGGACCGCTGGGGTGGGTGTGTTAGAGAGAGCAGAGGGCATTGCCTCCAAGTTATTAAAGACCAGACTCTGCATCCTGGATTTAGAAACATGTTTGCTTATCATTATTCATCTGGCTGAATCCCGCCCTACTCCTTTTAGAAAGCCAAAGAAATTGCATAACGGAATGAGGCGATTTCATTTTGGCATTGCCTTTGTCTAGTATGATCATGTTCTTCAGCTAGAAAGTAAGTTATACATTCGTAGAATAATGAGATACTAGAACTTGGAAAGAATGTAGAGAACATCAGTTTGAACCCACGGAAGTTGAGACTCAGAGATGAAGTGATGTGCCCATGGGCAAGTGGTGAGTGGGACCAGAATCCAGGTGTCTTCACTCTCAGCCCAGATCTCCACCCTCTCCTCCTCCCAGACCAGTGAACCTGGAGAATCCAGATGTTTCTCTTTATCAGCTGTGGTCCAGAGAGAGAGGGTGGATCTAGGTCAGAAGTACAATCTCCTAAGCAAACAACCTAGCACTGCTGCAGAGGAAATTTATTTTGAAACCTCCTACCATGACAAGCTGCATGACTACCATCATCTGTCTAAAGGAGGTTTAGGTTGCCATTACACATATTGGAGTTGCATCAAGGATCAAATATGTCCACCCAACCAGTTCTCCTCCTCATCAAGTCTTCCCCAAGCAGGCTGTCTCTTATGTATAATTTCTTCCAAACTATCCCAGAGAGTAAATGAGTGGGTAAGAAACCAAGATTTTGATGACAATAATCCATATCTCCATTAAACTCTCATTTAACATCTGTGGGCCAGGCACACTTCATTTGGTATCTCGTTTAATCCTCACGATAAGCCTCTGAGTTTGATAATAATAACAATTTACAATTGAGGAAACTGAGCTGGGGGTTAAATAACTTTCTCCAGATCACACATTTAGTCTGTGGTAAAGCCGTGCTGAGTCTTTCTGTCTTCAGCGGCATCAGATCCATCATACTGAAAATTAACAAACTTACTTATATATATAAAACTATATATATATTTATTTATATTTTCATTTATGCATAACTTACACACACACATGTCCATTTCTAAGCAATGCCCTGAAAAAGTTACTGTACTTTGCATACTCAAAAAAAAAAAAAGCATACACACACTCCACTGAGTCTTTCCATTAACCTTCCCACCAAAGAGTGCTTCAAATATTCCAATATGCTGAAAGAGTAAAGGTAGAAGATTCTCCACTCTACCATGCTAGAATCACCTCTGGGTTTAGATCCATTCCTAATGAATGGAGCTCCCCTCCATTCTGGGTCACATAAATCTGCCCTTTCTGCTCTAGAGAAAAATAGTGTCCAAACTTCAAGCTAGTTTAAGATAATAAGTACTATTTAGTAAGTGATTACTGTGTGCCAGACACTATGCTAAGCCTTTTAAATTAATTACCTCCCAATTAATTACAATTGCAGGAAAGAATTACCATTAGTATTATCATCCTCCTAGTTAGCTGGCTAAGTTTCACACAGCCAGTGAGAAACAGAGCCAGCTCATAGCCATCACGCCACAATGACACCCAGCTGTAGAGAGGAGCATGGAGGAGGGTTTTATTCAGACACTAAGGTGGGCTTGGGAGCGTAGACCAGCATCCTCTGCCCTTAATTGTGGAGGTGGGAAGATCCAGTGATTTAAGCTCCAGTAAGAGGTGGCACCATTACTATACTGACATGTGGCACCTGATGGAGTTTCAGGTCTTGTTCAGTGCAACACTACACAGAGATGTGTAGTTTTACTTCTATGTAAGAATTGCCAGGAAGTTCAGATTTACATAAAAAAGTCATAAGAGGAATGGTCCCCACCTTATAGTGGATGAAAGTTTCAGCTCTTCTTCCAACCAGTCAATTTGGGAGACTGGATTTGTTTGTGTTACCAGCACTAGTAACAGGTAATAACATAGACTTGTGATTGACCTCATTTGATTGCTCAAGAGCCTCTTGACTTGTTATCTCATGACCTCTACACAATGCCTTCCTGGTGTGCAGATAAGTCAATGAGGTCACCATCCCACAGGCAGGAGGTTTTTCATTCCACCTCTAGGCTTCTGCTGGGGGTTCTCCTCCCTGCTAATCTCTGTCCTTAGAAACCCTCCTGACTTTTCACATCCAAACCTGGTCACTCCTTCATGGTCTACCTTGGCATTTGGTCAGCAGGCTATTCATAAGCATTTTAAATAACCTCTTTTGCATGTTTTATTTCCCCCAATTAGGTCAAACCTTCTCAAGGACAAGGATTATGTCTGATTTGGTTTCCCATCCATAACACATAGTATTCTCTTCGGGCATGACGGGTTGTCAGTACGGCTTTGTTGACTGACTTTTATTTCCCAGCCTCCAACATAAGGGGAAAAAATTGCACAAGCAAAAAGGGAGGAGAACAAGCAAAAGTCTGGATGTTTGAGCCTTCAGGAAAATAATTTTCTCTGGGTATTTTTGTGTGTAAGTGTCTTGATTGTCAATCACTTTCACCCAAGGATTAAATTACTTTTGCAAACAAAGAGAACTAGGACTCATCGAAGGCCTACTGTGTGCCAGGTTACATTATTTCAACTAACCCTCACAGCCTCTGTAAACAGCAGTAATTGTTTTCTCATTGTGGGTATTGGGACTCTGGAATATTAACTAATTTTCCCAAGGCCTTCTATCTAACAAGGGATGGGGCCTGTATTTAAAATTCAGTTTTATTCCGAAGTCTATGATTTTCCACTCAACTACACATCCCCCAGCTCTGCCCCAGGGTTCATTTACCCATCCCTTTCATTCCTTTCCTTTTTATTTGACAGGTTTATCTGCAAGTTGCATAACATGGACTCCAGGGAAGCCTGGTAATGGCCTCATGGAAAAAGGGAGCAGGGAAGTGGAAAAAAATGAAACAAATTTTCTGAGCTCCCGCTGTATGCCAGGCTGTTACTAGATTCTTTATACTTGGTCATTTATTTACTCATTTTAATGACCTCATTATGCAAATATGAAACCTGAGACTCAAGAAGTCAGTCACATGACTTGTTCAGGGTCCCCCAGCAGGTAAGTGATAGTCAAAATCTAGCCCCAGGGCTGTCTAACATCAAAGCGTGAAAACGCAGTTTCCTAGAAAAACACCAAGATTCTACTCAAGTAGTGGACTAGGTTTTCAGAATTTAGGACCATGTCTCTAGAATGTTGTCAGTCCCCATAGGTAACAGGTCAGCCTAAGTGGAACAAGACTCTAAAAGCCTTGAGCTTCTGACACTGGGGATGT
Organism: Homo sapiens; assembly: GCF_000001405.40. Taxonomy (NCBI): domain Eukaryota; kingdom Metazoa; phylum Chordata; class Mammalia; order Primates; family Hominidae; genus Homo; species Homo sapiens. The sequence continues at coordinate 85,348,179 of NC_000015.10, forward strand.
CAGGCACTTGTGATGTGGCTCACTAAAGCCCACGGAGGAAGCACAAGAGGTCACAGTATAAAACCAAACATCCAGCCACCCTTGAAGCTCTGAGAGCTTGTGAATGCGCTGCTCACATGTCCTGTGTAGCGACAGGGGACCTCAATCCAGGACTCCCACTGAAGGAGCTTACGCTGTCCGTAGATTGTCTCTTAGGGAGAAATCTGTAATCTGTTATTAACCACCCTTTGGGCATGGAGCAAACTGCATCAACAATTTATGCAATATCATAAAAGAAATTATTTTTAGATCAGTGATATCATGGATACTTGCTGCTTTCTCTACTCTGCAGTCAACACCCCATATTTCCTCGGGGCCCCACCTTCCACTACTGTCAGTATGTTAACTCTCCCTGTGACTCCAGGGTTAGGCAGGTGACTGAGCCCAGCCGTTCAGAGCCATATGTTCCCGATCATAGTCAAGTGTTCAGATGAGCCCAGATGAGCCTGTGACCCAATAAGATGCACTGAGTCTTTTGCTTGGCCTGCTGGTAAAGAGGCACTCTTTCTTCCATTCTAGGTTTGAACTCTGCAGGATGTTGGCCTGGGGTTGCTGATAGCCATTCTACCTCCACATGGAACTAGAAAATAAACCACCACAGAAAAAGCAGAAATGCACAATGAACTAGGTCGTGTCCCAATGACGTCGTTTGACCCCTGACTCCAGCCTGACCTGGACTTTTCAATTCCTTGAACTAATACATTCCCTCTTCTTGCTGAAGTCACGGTGAGCCTATTTTCCTATCATTTACAACAAAAAGAGTCCTGACACAATGACTTTTCAAAAATCGTCACTCTCCCATGAACCTTTGGAGCGTCAGGGTTAATGATATTCTGATACAATTTACTGTTTCCATGTCTTTGCTTAACTATCTCTTTCTCAGTAAGGTCTTTCCTGACGACTGTATTTTAAATTGTGATTCCTTCCAGCCCAGTCAGCCTAGTCCCCGTCCCTTGTTTTTTTTTTTTTTTTGGTTGTTGGCTCTGTGTGTGTGTGTGTGTGTATGTGTGTGTGTGTGTGTGTTGATCCTGGGTCTCACTCTGTCACCCAGCTGGCATGCAGTGGTGCAATCATAGCTCACTGTAACCTTGAACTCCTGGGCTCAAGTGATCTTCCTGCTTCAACTTTCCGAGTAGCTGGGACTACAGGCATGCACCACCATGCACAGGTAATTTTTAAATGTTTTTGTAGAGATGGCATCTCACTATGTTGCCCTGGCTTGTTTCAAACTCCTGGGTTCGAACAATTCTCTTGCCTCAGCTTCCCAAATTGCTGGGATTACAGGCACAAACCATTGCACCCCACCCCACTGCCCTGCTTTTTCTTTTACTTATCACTATATGATATGCTACTTATTTTACTTACTTGTTTTGTTTATTATCTGTCTCCTGTAAGTAAGTCATAAGGGCAGGAATTTTTTTTTTTTTTAGGCAGAGACTCTTTGTGTCACCCAGGCTGGAGTGCAGTGGCATGATCTTGGCTCACTGCAACCTCTACCTCCCAGGTTCAAGCAATTCTCGTGCCTCAGCCTCCTGAGTAGCTGGGATTAGAGGCTCCTGCCGCCACGCCCGGCTAATTTTTGTATTTTTGGTAGAGACGGGCTTTCACCATATTGGCCAGGGTGGTCTCGAACTCCTGACCTCAGGTGATCCACCTGCCTCGGCCTCCCAAAGTGCTGGGATTTCAGGAATGAGCCACCGTGCCCGGCCTGGAATTTTGTTGTTGTTGTTGTTGTTGTTGTTGTTGTTGTTCTATTTTATTCATTGCTATTGCCTACATAAAGCCTGGCACATGTCAGGAAGTTCAATGAGTGAATGAACATTTGGCGAGTAATACATCTAAGTCCTCTCGTGGCCTTTATATTCAGACTGACTCGGGTTCAGATCTGAGCTCCTCAATTATAGGTTGCTTAATGCTATGCACATTACTTAATCTTATTGAGACTTAATTTCTCACCCCAAAACACAGTGCAATAATTTCTGTCAGAATTGTGAGATTAGATGAGGTCATAACATCCTACACTTGCCTGCCACGTTGTAGGCTCTCATTTTATACACTTGGGGTGACCAACTAGAGTGAGGAAGAGAACCCACTAAATTGATATGTCAGGAGATCTTGCTTATCTTTTGTGAATCAGTGATGGCTGATGAACAACTAGGGATATAAAGGATATACACGTGGCTCCATGTGAGAACCAATATTTGTGGCCTGTTGTTAGCACACTTGCCTAGTTTTACAATGACTGATCCAAGAAAGAAGACATTTCTTTGGATGGTCTGGAAATTCTGGTGGGACACAGATGATAAATTGCTGGCTCTTGGCAAAAGATGACATGACTCTTATTATCTGATTATTTACTTAGTGTCATGGCCTGTATGTTGTAGCCTTCCAAAATTCATATGTTGAAACTCCAACCCCCAGTGTGATGGTATTTGGAGACGGGGCCTTTGGGAGGTGATTAGGATGAGATGAGATCATGACGGTGGGGAGATCATGACGGTGGGGGGATCATGATGGGATTAGTGCCTTTATAAGAGACAGTAGGGGGCTTACACTTGACATCCTCCAACTGCCAAGCCATGTGAGGACAAAGCAAGAAGGCAGCCATCTGCAAGCCGAGAAAAGAGCCCTCATCAGAATCTGACCATATGGACACACTGATCTTGGGGTTCCAGCCTCCAGAACTGTGAGAAAATTAATTTGCACTGTTAAGCAGTTTGGTTATGTCAGCCTGAGCTGACTAAGACATTTAGGTACTCTCCCTTTTGCATTGGACCTATACAAAATGGGAATCTGGGCCAGGCACGGTGGCTCACGCCTATAATCCCAGCACTTTGGGAGGCCAAGGGGAGAGGATTGCTTGAGCCCATGAGTTCAGGACCAGCCTGGCCAATATAGTGAGACAGGTCTCTATATTAAAAAAAAAAATGTTAATGGGAATCTGTATAATACAATGGCAAAGTGAGAATAAAAAATACCAGGACCAAGGAAAGTGCACTTTAGCATAGGAGTATAGGTGAAGGGGAAGAGCAAGTGGTTGATAAGGTGATACAGATTTCTAGAAGTGAGCTGTGAATTTAGTTTTAAGCTTTGAGTTGACCAAGGAAAAGAGATAGAGAGAGAGAGAGGGAGAGAGAGATTATAAAGGTCAGTAAGGGACAGAATCTCATGGCTTAATGTCTATGAGTTGATAAACTCTTAGAGTTCAAGGTAGCGCCAGTTATTTTAGCATCCTATAAGGTATAACTATCTGACTCCTTCATTCTGTGATTGGTCCCTTAACAAACATGCCCAAGTGAATACATTCAAAGGAATACCTTGAATGTAATATCCAGCTGCCACCTTATGCTCATCATGCTTAATGAAATGTCCCTGGTTTTCCCTTTCAAACTGTGGCAACTTTTTTCTTTCCTTTTTTTTTTTTTTTTTTTGAGATGGAGTCTTGTACTGTCACCCGGGCTGGAGTGCAGTGGTCTGATCTCTGCTCACTGCAACCTCTGCCTCCCGGGTTAAAGCAATTCTCTTTCCTCAGTCTGCTGAGTAGCTGGGATTACAAGTGCATGCCACCACGCCTGGCTAATTTTTTTTTTTTTTTTTTGTATTTTTAGTAGAGACAGGATTTCACTATGTTGGCTAGGATGGTCTCGAACTCCTGACCTCGTGATCCGCCCGCCTCGGCCTCCCAAAGTGCTGGGATTACAGGCTTGAGCCACCGTACCTAGCCAAGCTGTGGCAACTTTTAAAATGTAGACTCAATATCCTTGTCCTATAAGAGTGGTTCTAATTTTTAAAAAATTCTCACTATGAAGCCCTTTAGGTACGGTGCTGAGTACCCATGAACCTTATCTCTGATCACCACTGCAACTCACTCTTATGGCATGGATCAGCAAGCAGGGCTCAGAGAAGGTAAGTCACTTGCCCACAGGCTCCCGGATAATAAGTAAAATAACTGGAGCCCCAGAGCCTCTGCTCCTTTCATTCCACAGGTGTTTCTCACACCTTAGTCATTTATATGCCCCCTTCACAATCTTCATCTCATCCTCATAACCTGGGTTACTGCTTAGTATCTCTCAGCAATTTAACTCACTGTATTTTTACTTAAATAAGTTTTTCGTTAAGCAATATAGCTTTTCCGTAAGCAATATGCATTAAATTATGGGTTCAACGTGCTTGTCATATATATACAGTTAATGCATTTAAAGTAATTATGTAACTATTACTTTTTAAATTAAAAAATGTGTGCTACCTAACATATCTGATTTCCAACTAATGATATGCATGTTCAACACTGTTTCCAGAAGTTAAATAAGGTGGATATTTTATTGGGCAATAGTATTTGTTGCTATAGTTTTGGGTTTTAAAGTAACAAAACCACTCTTCAAACAAGGATCACCAACTCTCTGTGACGGCAAAAATAAAAAGTAGAGAACCAAAACTATTTCAAATAGCCACAATATTATCTCAGGAGAGATGGCTAGGCTGGGCATGGTGGCTTACGCTTGTAACCCCAGTCTTTTGGGAGGCCAAGGTGGCCAGATCACCTGAGGTCAGGAGTTCAAGACCAGCCTGGCCAACATGGTGAAACCCTGTATCTACTAAAAAAACTAAAATTAGCCAGATGTGGTGGCAGGCACCTGTAATCCCAGCTACTCAGGAGGCTGAGACAGGAGAATCGCTTGAATTCAGGAGGCAGAGTTTGCAGTGAGCCGAGATCGTGCCACTGCACTCCCACCTGGGCGACAGAGCAAGTCTCCGTCTCAAGGGAAAAAAAAAAAAAAAAAAAGCAAAGACACGTGGCTAGATTTGCAAGGGGTCTATGGTGAGGGAAACAGTCATTTAGATAAATATGTTTTTGTACTTTCACTTAAAATAGACATTTCTGGCCAGGTGCAGTGGCTTACACCTATAATCCCAGCACTTTGGGAGGCCAAGGCAGGTGGATCACCTGAGGTCAGGAGTTCGAGACCAGCCTGACCAACATGGTAAAACCCCGTCTCTACTAAAAATACAAAAATTAGCTGGGCGTGGTGGCAGCTGCCTGTAATCCCAGCTACTCGGGAGGCTGAGGCAGGAGATCACTTGAACCCGGGAGGCGGAGGTTGCAGTTAGCTGAGATCATGCCACTGCACTCCAGCCTAGACAACAGAGTTAGTGAGATTCCGTCTCAAAAAAAAAAAAAAAAAAGACATTTCTTAATAGTTACACTTTAAATAATGCTATGGCTAGAAATTGAATAAAAACCTTTGGACTTGGTTAATAACTATGACAAGACTAGCACGAAATCCTATTTAAATAAGGCCTCAATAGAGCACCATGACAAAACAGAATCAACAAGGTTAATTAAGTCTTTGTGCCTTATTATATACCTAGGGAACCCAACCTTGTAAGATTAAACAGCATTAAAAATAGAAGGGCATGTGGTGAGTTGAGTTTACACTCAGTATACCAATGAAATTTTCTCTGTGGGTTTTCACTGGTTGCTTTTAAGAGTAAGTTTGAGCAGTAATCTCTGAGGAGGATCTTCTGATCTAACCAAGTGAAAGAACAATTTCATTAGCACTACAGCAGGGAAGATGTCATTTATTGATGAGCTAACAGTCATTGGATAGATGCCCAGTGATGCTGGATATTGTGCTGGGTTCTGAGAAAATCTAATAAGATGTGGTCCCTGCCCTCAGGGGGCTTGCACTCTAGCAGAGGAGACAAATCAAACAAAGAATGACAGTGTTGTGTTGTGTGAGCACAGGCACAATGGGAGCCCAACAGAAAAAAAATCAAATCCAGCCTGAGGATGTCAAGGAAGGCTTCTCAGAGAAGAGAAGGAGGCATGAGCTAAGGGTTTTTATTTCATTTCATTTTTTTTTTGAGACAGAATCTCGCTCTGTCACCAGGCTGGAGTGCAAAGGCACGATCTCGGCTCACTGCAACCTCCGCCTCCCGGGTTCAAGCGATTCTCCTGCCTCAGCCTCCCGAGTAGCTGGGATTACATGAGCTGAGTTTTTAAGGATGAGTAGGAGTTAGTGATGAGGTCATTCCTAGCCCAAGGACTAAATCACATATAAGGAAGCGCCTTAATGAGGGGCAATAGGTTGGAATCAGGGATCAGGTTGTTCATTATAAACAAGCAATTCAGTAGGGCTTAAGTGAAGGTTGTTGGGGAAAAGAAGTTCAAGATGGTGATGTTCCAAACTATGACAAGCCCAGCCAAAGAGTTAATCCTGAGAGCTACATGAGCCATCTCCAGGTTTTAAGTGAGAAGATTTGGTATTCTTGACAGAAGCTGTCAGGAATACCCTGTGAGGGCTGCTTATCTCCATTCCTGGGACTTTCCCTGGATGCTTTTGGCACAAGGGCAGCAGCTGCTATTGCTGACTGCTGGAAAACAGGGTCTCACTGGCATGGAATTCGGGTGACTGTAATTACGGATAATGGGTCTCAATTTGCCTGTCAGGAATTTGCACAGTTGGCTCTATCCCTGGAATTTGAATACTTTACATCCTGCTTATGCATCAAAGTCAGACAGCAGAAGAAGCAGAAGTCACCGGGGTTTCCCATCTACTCAGTCAGCTGGCCTTGGAAATGGCCGTGGACCTCTTAAAAGCAGTGGCCATTCCCATGGAGGGAGTTTTTCCTAACCAAGCCCACCCCCACAGAAAAGGCTTAGAGCCGCTCTCAGGCACCAGGTCTGGGAAGCTAAGGAAGGAGGACTTGCTGTTACAGTGATCCCACGGTGTTTTCCTGGGGTCCATGGCAGCTTGGAAGGACTGTGTCCACTCACATCCTGGTCTTTAACTCAGGCTGACACACCCTCACCCCTTACTGCCTGTAGCCAATTTTTAAAAAGAAACAAAAAAAGAGGAGGAAGCACTTGCTTCACTACTACTTTGCTCCTTCCTTCCTTCCTTCCTTCCTTCCTTCCTTCCTTCCTTCCTTCCTTCCTTCCTTCCTTTCCCTCCCTCCGTCCCTCCGTCCCTCCCTCCCTCCCTCCTTCCTTCCTTCCTTCCTTCTTTCCTTTTTCTTTCTTTTGAGACAGGGTCTGGCTTTGTCGCCTAGGCTGGAGGGCACTGGCATGATCTCAGCTCACTGCAGCCTCAACCTCACGTGCTCAAGTGACCCCCCACCTCAGCCTCCCAAGTAGCTGGGACTACAGGTGTGTGCCACCGTGCCCAGCTAATTTTTGTATTTTTGGTAAAGACAGGGTTTCGTCATGTTGCCCAGGCTGGTCTCGAACTCCAGAGCTCAAGAGATCCACCCACCTCAGCCTCCCAAGATTACAGGTGTGGGCCACTGTGCCTGGCCACTACTGCTTTCGTTCTTCATGGCCCACTCTAGTCAAGAGTCAACAACTTTATTTATTTATTTATTTATTTATTTAGCGATGAGATTTCACTATGTTGCCCAGGCTGGTGTCAAACTTCTGGGCTCAACTAATCCTCCTGCCTCAGCTTCCCAAGTAACTGGGATTACAGGCACATTTCACTGTGTCCAGCTCAATTTTGTTTTTTATCCTTCTAGTTTTGCCTTCTGTTCTTGTCATAGCACTGACTTCTCTATGTATTTATTTAATATTTATTGATATAGTACTTGACGACATTATAAATGCTTTACATATATTGACTCAAAATTATTCCTCCTAGGCCAGGCGAGGTGGCTCACACCTGTAATCCTAGCACTTTGGGAGGCTGAGGCGGGCGGATCACGAGGTCAGGAGATCGAGACCATCCTGGCTAACACGGAGAAACCCCGTCTCTACTAAAAATACAAAAACTTAGGCAGGCGTGGTGGTGGGTGCCTGTAGTCCCAGCTGCTCAGGAGGCTGAGGCAGAAGAGTGGTGTGAACCCGGGAGGCGGAGCTTGCAGTGAGCCGAGATTGTGCCACTGCACTCCAGCCTGGGCGACAGAGTGAGACTCCGTCTCAAAAAAAAAAAAAAAAAAATTTTTCCTCCTAACACATGTATGTGATAAGTACAGACAAGGAAGCGATTATATCCATTTCACAGATGAGAAAGTGAGACAGACAGTAGTGGAGCTCAGATCTGAACAAGGTAGTATTACTCCAAAGTCTATGCCAAACTACACTTCAACTGCATACATTTCAGTTTGTCTCTCCACATGTGAGATGATTCTTTACTGAGCACTTTAATTTGTGCTAGACACTTTCCATCTGTGATCTCCTCTGTTCCTCATGGCAACCCAAAAGATAGACACAGATAAGAGAACCAAGTCACAGTGATTTATGCAACTTCTACAAGATTATTCCGTTAGTAAATGGGGAGTTGCCAGCCACTAAGGGAGCTCTTTATCTCCAGTTCCTACTGCTTCCCCAAATACCTGACTTCTGTTTATTGCTTGATCCTCTCCTATACTGACTGTTTTGGGTATTCTCACAGCCAGAGTCAGTCCCTGAGACCCAACCACCATTGTACTTAGACATACCCAAGTCTCCACTCAAAGGGAGCATAGAACATTCTGCCACAATTTCAGAGGAATGAAATTTAAACTTTCAGTCTATTCTGCGAGGCTACATTCTCACTGTTTCAAAGGATCCCTTAATAAAAATAGCTATAACAATAATATTTGCAAGTTATTAATGCTTTTTAATGTGCCAGACACCTTATATAGAATATTTCTAACCATCATGACACCCTAAATGTAAATATTATTGCTGTTTTACAGATTGGGAAACAGAGGTTCAAAGAGGTTTAAATAACTTGCCCATGATCATACCATTATTCAGATATTGGCCGGGCGCGGTGGCTCACGGCTGTAATCCCAGCATATTGGGAGGCCCAGGCAGGCAGATCATGAGGTCAGGAGATCGAGACCATCCTGGCTAACGCGGTGAAACCCCGTCTCTGCTAAAAAAATACAAAAAATTAGCTGGGCATGGTGGCGAGAGCCTGTAGTCCCAGCTACTCGGGAGGCTGAGGCAGGAGAATGGCTTGAACCCAGGAGGTGGAGCTTGCAGTGAGCTGAGATTGCACCACTGCGCTCCTGGGCGACAGTGGGAGACTCCGTCTCAAAAATAAATAAATAAATAAAAATAAAAATAAAAATAAAAATAGCTATAACAATGATATTTTCAAGTTATTAATGCTTTTTAATGTACCAGACAATTTATACAGAATATTTCTAACCATCATGACAACCCTAAAAGTAAATATTATTGCTGTTTTACAGATTGGGAAACAGAGTTTCAAAGAGGTTTAAATAACTTGCCTATGATCATACAATTATTCAGATATGCTAACCCCAAAATCTATCCTCTCTCTTTTTCTTTTTTTGAGACAGAGTCTCGCTCTGTCACCCAGGCTGGAGAGCATGATCTCTGCTCACTGTAACCTCGACCTCCTGGGTTCAAGTGATTCTCCTGCCTCTGCCTCCTGAGTAGCTGGGATTACAGGCAGGCAGCACCACGCCTGGCTAATTTTTGTATTTTTAGTAGAGATGGGGTTTCACCATGTTGGCCAGGCTGGCCTCGAACTCCTGACCTCAGGTGATCCGCCCACTTTGGCCTCCCAAAGTGCTAGGATTACAAGCATTAGCCACTGTGCCCGGCTGTACTTTTTCTACTGCACTTGGCTTCTTCTCATGTGAGCAAGATTCAGGACAAGTCTTTCCAAGGGCTTGGAGAAAATATAGAAGGTGGAAGAGAATAGGTTTCAGCTTGGGTCAGTGGGATATTTCTTTTTTTTTTACTTCCTTTTTCTCTACTTCCTATCATCCCTTCTTTTCTTCCTTTTTTCAGTTAATAAAAAATGACACAATTAATAACAAAGCTAGCAGAAGCCCTAGACTTGGCTCCTTGCCATATTTAAAAACCAAGTTCCACCCATATACAATTATGACTGCTGACAATAAAGTCCCAACCCAGAATGAATCAGCACAGAGAAAAATCAAAAGAGGGCAGGGCTGGGGCTTGGTACTCAGAGTTAGCCCCAAAGTTATGAGTCAGAGACTTCTCAGAATAACCTCCCTGCCAAATTAATCCCAGGCCAGGGCTTGCCAAGGTGCAGCTGGTTTCACAAATTCCAGTGGACTAAAGTGGACTTCCCTGGGGGAAAAGGGCAGTGCTAATGTGCCAGAGAGAGACAGACTGGATAGGTGAGTGGTATTATGGTCATTGACCAAACTACCAAACTTCATTCTACTCTAGCAGAAACAATCCTAAGGCCACATAGATGGAAATGCACCTGTTCAATTCTGCTCATCACTGTATTCAAGAACTCAGGAAAGATGTGTATAATGCATCCAAAATGAAGGGACATATTTATTTATATTGTTAAATAATATCTGCAACATGAACTAGCCAAAAATAAAATATCGATGCAATTAGTGCATGCTGTACTAAAAACAATGATATCGGTTTGTAGAGGCTTAAACCAAATAGAAAAGTCTTGTCAAAAGTGTCTCCTTGGTCCAGGTTTGCTCCATCTTCTCTAGGTCAACCTCTTTCTCTGAATCTGAACTTCATGAGTAAATACTGTAGTCGGGGAGGGTCAGGATCACCTTGTACTGCAAACCCAGACAGACCTAGGCTCCTGTAGGTCTCAATAATCTGCATTTATTTCTTTCAAAAGACAAACCAGAAATGTTCCCCTCACCCAGATCCTCCTAGAGAAAGAAAAAGAAGTTGTGCATTCATGCTATATGAAAAGAGAACAGGAATTTAGAATCATAAAGACCTGGAAAAAGGCCGAGCGTGGTGGCTCACACCTGTAATTCCAGCACTTTGGGAGGCCGAGGCGGGTGGATCACTTGAGGTCAGAAGTTCAAGACTAGCTAGGCCAACATGGTGAAACCCTGTCTGTACTAAAAATACAAAAAAATTAGCTGGGCCTGGTGGTGGGTGCCTGTAATCCCAGCTACTTGAGAGACTGAGGCAGAAAAGTTGCTTGAACCCAGGAGGCAAAAGTTGCGGTGAGCTGAGATCACACCACTGCACTCCAGCCTGGGAGACAGAGCAAGACTTTGTCTCAAAAAAAAAAAAAAAGACCTGGAAATGAACTGAGCATGATGGCTCATACCTGTAATCTCAGCATTTTGGGAAGCCAAGGCAGGAGGATCACTTGAAGCCAGGAGTTCAAGACTAGCATGGAAAGTATAGTTGAGACCCCAACTCTACAAAAAAAAAAAAAAAAAAAATAGAATAAAATTAGCTAGGCATGATTGCATTCCTGTGGTCCCAACTATTGGGGAGACTGAGGTGGGAGGATTGCTTGAGCCCAGGAGATCAAGGCTGCAGTGAGCCATGATTGCACTATTGCATTCCAGCCTGGGGGCAGAGTGAGACTGTCTTGAAAAAAAAAAAAATCTGGAAATGAGTTCCCCAACTCTAAGACTTCCCTGCTGCTTGGGCTTTGAACAGCGTATTCATCTATAAGATGGAGAAAACAAGACTTACACTTAACTGTTGTTAGGAAGATTAAATGAGAAAATACATACTAAAGTGCACAAGCCAGTGTTTGACTCATGGTTAATTGTATCTTGGTCGCCCAATCTCCTGGGCGGACCTGAACTTCTTTCTGTATTTGAAAGTCCTTTTGAGAGGTCTAGAGTCATCTATTCTTTCTAACATAGGATTCATTGATCAGAAATTCACAGAAGGGCGTCCTGAGACACTGTGTATTCCAGAAACGGAAATGGGCAATTCAATTATTCTTTTATTCAATAAAAATGATTAAGTACTTATTCTGTGTTAGGGACTGAACCAGGAGCTAGAGATAGATAAATGAGGTGTGGGTCTCATTTAGAGTGGAACACAGACAAATAAGACTGTTGTGAGGTATATGAAGGCAAAAACAGGGTGCTGAACACATCTCAGGAAGAGCGTCCAGATAGAATTCTCAGGAACTGTGTGAGGGGTGTGTGTGTTGCTGTTTGGAAGTAAGGCCTGGTGGGAAGTGGGGCAGATGGGAGCCAGAAAGGGCAAGCAGGAGTAGACCGGTAAAGGAGGGTGAGGATCACTCTGCCAGCAGAGACAACAGCATATGCGCAGGCTCATGATGGGAAATCGCCTTTGGTTCTGACAGGCAGGCCATAGGGATTGTACTGCGGAAGACAGGGCTGAAACAGAGGCTGGAGAGTTGGACAGGGGTCAGATCACAAAGGGTCTGGGTGGCTAAGCTATGTGATTTGGGTTTAAACATGACATATATGGAGAATCTTTGAAGGATTCCAAGCAGCAGGGTAACATGATCAGATTTGCTTTTTTTTTTTTTTTTAAGACGGAGTCTCGCTCTGTCGCCCACGTTGGAGTGCAGTGGAGCAATCTCGGCTCACTGCAACCTCCGCCTCCCAGGTTCAAGCATTTCTCCCACCTCAGCCTCCTGAGTAGCTGAGACTACAGGCACCCACCACCATGCCTGGCTAATTTTTTGTATTTTAGTAGAGACGGGAACTCCTAGCTCAGGCCATCCACCCACCTCGGCCTCCCAAAGTGCAAGGATTACAGGCATGAGCCACCGTGCCCGGCCCAGATTTGCTTTTCTAATTTTATTTATTTATTTGCTTAGAGACAGGGTCTTGCTCTGTTGCCCAGGTAGAGTGCAGTGGCATGATCATAGCTCACTGCAGCCTTGAACTCTTGGGTTCAAGCAATTCTCCCACCTCAGCCTCCTGAGTAGCTAGGACTACAGGCATGTGCCACCATGCCCCGCTAATTTTTTTAATTTTTTGTAGAGATGGGGATCTCACAATGTTGCCTAGGCTGGTCTCAAACTCTGGGGCCCAAGTGATCCTCCCACCTTGGCCTCCCAAAGTGATGACACTCCAGGCATGAGCCACCATGCCTGGCCCAGATTTGCTTTTTAAAATTGCCATGAAAATTTGTGTCCACAGATTTGACTTATTTTTATGAACTCATGATAATACCCAACTTCCTTTCCTTCCATGTAAAGAAAAAGTAACATCTTCAAAAATTAAAATTGTCCAAGTACCTCGTGTTAGGTGGAATTTGGGTTTTATTTGCTGTAGGGAGTGGGGAAGGTTGGACTTGAATAGGAATATTGACACTGAGACTTACTGATTTGCTCTTCTTTTACCTGCAGAGCCAAATCAATGGTACTCATGCTACGAACAGGAGCTATGGTATTTTTACCAAATCTGGAGACAGTGATCTTCACTTTGAAAAACAGGTTCTGAGAAGCCCCTCAGAAGTGAGAAAGGCTGTAACCTAACCTCGAAATTTATTAGCAGAAGCAGGTAATGACCACGAAGTCTCGCCGTTAAGGCACACCAGTGCTTGCCTTCTATTTCTGGCTCTAACCAAAGCTGTCAGCTTCTCACTTTCAAAAAAACTTAGTTCACTTCATGAAAAAAATATATATACATGATTGTGAGAAGTCTACAGAAGTCCCCTGAAAATCCAGTGACCTCATTTTTGGTAGCTCTGTAATATTTGTGAACATTTGTTTTTCAGCACTGTCACTACTTTTGGTCAAATTTACTGTCAGGGTTTTTGAGTTTCAAGGGCAGTTTGTCTTAACCAGTTTCTCCATTTATTGGAAGATCTGTCTCTGTAACCTAAATACAACACTCTCACTCATACTAAAAAATCCAACCAGCCCCAACCACAGGCAAGATCTGGAAAGCAGAACTGGAAAGTGGATTAAAAGAAAAAGCCCAAACTTTTTGTGTTGCAGTCCTTTATTGCCTTCATTCGCTGGACAACTTTCCTAATGTGACATTTGTCTTGGCCGATGAAGTGTCACATACTAAGCAGGTGATAAGTGGCATAACTCAATGGAAGTATTTGGGAAAGTAAGTCAGAGGCAAGTGACAAGCTGGAATGTATGTAACTGTCAGCACAGACAGGCCAAGGGCCCAAAATAAAAGCTATTTTTCCTCTCTGACTTGGCAACCCTGCTTGAAGTTAGGTTTAGGCTCGCTTTTTAAATCAGTCTGTGTGTGTGTGTGTGTGTGTGTGTGTGTGTGTGTGTGTGTGTGTGTGTTATGACTGCCATCTTCCTATTGCTGAATACCTACAGAAGAAAACCAGAAGGTAGTGGTGTACTTAAAAATGAAAAGAGGCGCGAGGCGTGGTGGCACACACTTGTAATCCCAGCACTTTCGGAGGCCGAGGCAGGCGGATCACTTGATGTCAGGAGTTCGAGACCAGCCTGGCCAGCAAGACGAAACCCTGTTTCTACTAAAAATACAAAATTTAGTCGGGCGTGGTGGTATGCACCTGCAGTCCCAGCTACTCAGGAGGCTGAGGCAGGAGAATCGCTTGAACCCGGGAACTGGAGGTTGCAGTGAGCTGAGATTGCACCACTGCACTCCAGCCTCGGTGTTGCAGCGAGACTCTGCCAAAAAAGGAAAGAAAGAAAGAAGGAAGGAAGGAGAGAAAGAAAGAAAGAAAGAGAGAGAGAAAGAAAGAAAAGAAAAGAGAAAGAGAAAGAAAGAGAAGGAAGAAAGAAAGAGAGGGAAGAAAGAAAGAAATAGAGAAGGAAGAAAGAAAGGGGAAAGATGGGGATCCTTAGAAGAAAAAACAAAGAGAAGTGAAGCAGATTTCCAAAGAGACCTGATATGCACTTCAGGAGACCAGCTAAAATTACCCCAGTTAAAGAGTGTCTTGTGTCACAAGCTTTGTCCCTAAGGTATGCTGAGGCCAAGTCCTCCCAACGTGGAGCTCTATCATAGCCCAGCTGGGAATTATCCACCCACCGGGGTCTGTGGGTCAAGACTTAAGTGCATTAGCAGAAGGCATCTTCAAGCTGATGTGATGGAGACCCATCAAATCTGAATCAAAGCCAAAAAGGGAAAGAAAACAAAATTAAGTAGCTCTTTCATAAACTTCAATAAGGTTTCACAAATTGAGACACAAGATGTGAGATGTTAAAAACATTCTCCCAGTGCTTTTCTCGGACTGAATGAGTTTCTGCATTTAGGCAGTTTTGGCATTTGCAAAGTGCTTGCTTTGTGTGAAAGGAAGTGAATGTGAGGATAAAGAAGTAGAGGAGAGAGGTGAAGGACCAGCTTCTATCCTGTCTCTGTTTCCAGGCGTCTTGATGTAGAGCTCTACTTAACTGTGAGAGCAGCTCCCAAATAAAAGTGGGACTCAGCACTATATTCCTATAAGTTGGTGACTGATTGGACTCTTCTCAATAAATCAATAATGGGCTTCATGGAGGTGGTGTTCTTGAGCCAGCCTTTAAGGTTTGTGGAATTTGCCAGGCAGAGATGCTGTGGATGGATCTTCTAGGTAGAGGGAAACATATGAATAGGGGCAGGACAGAAGGAAACCAGAGAACACATTCTGGGCACATAGAGCTGTAGAGTCAGAAGAACATGGCATCAGTCTGGATACTTGGGGCAGGGCAGATTTAGGTGTCAGAGGTTGTCAGCCCAAGAGGTGACCCTTTACTGAAGGATGGAACATAGGAAAAGGAATGGATTTGGGAAGGAAGGTGATTAAGAAGGGCATCTGTTGGTTTTGCTTGCCTGGCATCAATCCTACTTGCTTCTGGCCACAGTATGTCAATTTTCTTCTAAGCAAAGGGCCTTCGCCACATTCTCAGTTCACGTAGTTCAGGTGTAAATGACACTCTCTTTGGCTCAGTGGGTGAACACATGACCTGGGCCTAACTCATCTTAGGCCCTCAGGCATGGCTCTATAATTTTTATATAGAATTGCTTATTAATTCAAGTATAATAGTGGGAGGATAGAAATTTAAGCTAAGTCTGCATATTAATTTATGTAAAATTAGGAAATCACTGAAGGATAGGGGAATGATAAAGATTATGGGGAAACCTTTTTTTTTATTTTTATCTTTTTATTTTGAGACAGAGTCTCACTCTGTTGCCCAGGCTGAAGTGCGGTGGCTCAATCTTGGCTCACTGCAACCTCCACCTCCCAGGTTCAAGCGATTCTCCTGCCTCAGCCTCCCAAATAGCTGAGACTACAGGCATGTACCACCATGCCTGGCTAATTTTTTTATTTTTAGTAGAGACGGGGTTTCACCATGTTAGCCAGGCCAGTCTCAAACTCCTGACCTCAAGCAGTTCGCTTGCCTCAGCCTCCCAAAGTGCTGGGATTACAGGCATGAGCCACTGCACCCGGCCAAGGAACCAACACTTCTTCAATGACCTCCCTACAGTGCTATAGTGACGTACGGATGGATATATGATCAAAGCTGGGCCAATGAAAGACAGCCCTGAGACTTTTGATGCAGTAGTAGAAAGTTTAGTACAATTGCTGCCTACAGTAATATTGGTAATAGACTTTGTTTTGTTTAGAGATGGCGTCTCGCTCTGTTGCCCAGGCTGGAGTACAGTGGCGCCATCTCAGCTCACCGCAACCTCTGCCTCCTGGGTTCAAGCAATTCTCCTGCCTCAGCCTCCTAAGTAGCTGGGATTACAGGCAAACACCACCGCACCCAGCTAATTTTTGTACTTTTTGTAGAGACGGGGTTGTGCCATGTTGGCCAGGCTGGTCTCAAACTCCCAGCCTCAAGTGATCTACTCGCCTCGGCCTCCCAAAGTGCTGAGATTACAGGAATGAGCCACCATGCCCAGCCAGTAGTAGACTTTTGATAAAAGATACAGAAACTCTCATTTCATTTTGGGGTAGGGAGTTGATAAAATGGGGAATCGAAGCTTCTGATGATCATCTTGTCACTATGAGAGAGAAGGTTTCTGAGAAAGAAACCAAGATAGAGGAGAGCACAACCAGGAGAAGGCAATGGGGAAAGATGAAGAAGGTGTTGGGGAGAGACAGATTCCTAACGGCATCATTGGGTCATCTGGAACCAGACTTGCTTGAAATCTTTCTCTGGACTTAAATTTCCCTTTTGGTTTTTTTCTTGAGCCAATGGACTAAAAGAGTCTTAATGAATACAAAGATGTTGGTTTGGGACATACATATTTAAGTTACTGGAAGTCATCGAGGCAGTCAAAAAAGTAGAATTAGTGCTTTGAACACTATATCGAGTGCCCTGAGCACTGAGATAAATATCTGAGAGTCATTCACATGGTTAAAACAATAATAAGGGGCAATATTTATTATATTTTTTGCTTTGTGCCAGATATTGTTCTAAAGAGCTTTATATGTATTCTCTCATTCCACCTCACAGCAGCCATGTCAGTTAAATACTTTTATTATTTCTATTTTACAGGTAAGGACACTAACAGACACACAGGAGAGGCTTAGTAATTTGCTGTGGTGGCCAGACTCCACGATGGTCCTGGTGAGATCCGCTTCCTGGTATTCATGTCTTTATTTCATCCTCTCCCCTTGAGTGTGGACTGGACTTAGTGACTTCCTTCTTTTTTTTTTTTGAGACAGAGTCTCACTCTGTCACCCAGGCTGGAGTGCAGTGGTGCGATCTCGGCTCACTGCAAGCTCTGCCTCCCGGGTTCATGCCATTCTCCTGCCTCAGCCTCCTGACCAGCTGGGACTACAGGTGCCCACCACCATGCCCAGCTAATTTTTTGTATTTTTGTCGAGACGGGGTTTCACCATGTTAGCCAGGATGGTCTCGATCTCCTGACCTCGTGATCCGCCCGCCTCGGCCTCCCAAAGTGCTAGGATTACAGGTGTGAGCCACTGCGCCCGGCCGTGACTTCCTTCTAATGAATAGAGTAAGGCAGAAGTGATGGTATGTGACCTGGAAACTAGATCATAAATACAGTGTGGCTTCTACTCTTATTTCTCTGTTTCTCTGGCTTCTTTCTCTCAGATCACTCACTCTGGCAGAAACCATGTTATAATCAGCGCTGTGAAATGGCTCATGAGGTGAGAAACCGAAGGTTCCTTTAGTTAAGGGAATAAGCTTGGAAGTAGATCTTCCAATTCCAGTTCTGGTGGGGACTAGAACTTTACTGACAGTTTCACTGCTTCCTCATGAGAGACCCTGAGCCAGAACCACACCACTAAGCCATTCCTGATATCTGGTTCTCAGCAACAGTGTGAAATAACAAATGTTTGTTTGAGTCTAAGCTGGTAAATTTGCTGGAAATGTATTACACAGCAGTACATAAGTAATGCAGATTTTTGTACCAAGGGTGGGTGCTGATGCAGAAAAAATCTAAATGTTGGAATTGCTTTGGAACCAGTAAGTAAGTAGAAGCTGGAAAAGCTGTGAGGATTTTGAAGAGAGTGATAGTGAAAGCGTAAAGCGTCTTGAACACACTATTAGTAGAACTGTGGACTTCAAGGAGGCTGTCAGTGAGGACAACCACTTTTCCGTTAAGGGAAAAATGATGACAATCTTATGGGAAATTAGATAAAAGGGGATTTTTAATGCAGTAGCAGAAATTTTAGCATTGTTGTTGCCTACCGTAATGTGGGTGGTAGAAAATGTCCCTAAGGAACTGAGAGATCAAGTTAAGGAGATTTCTAGTCTTTCCCCATCACCCTGTCTTAGCTCTGCTTCCCTCTGTCTTGGTTTCTTTCTCGGAAAGCTCTTCCCTCATAGTGACAAGATGACCATTGGAACTTCAGGCCGCCATTCTACCAGCTCTCTACTCCCAGTGGAATGAGAGTTTGTGTTTTCCAATACTTTTATCAAAAGTCTCAGGGTTGTCTTTTATTAGCTCGACTTCGATCATATGTTCATCACTCCAGATGCCACCTGGTCTCTTTTTGCTTCTTATGGAAAAGGACAAGAGAAAGGAATTAACTAATGGAAAGATTGTTAAACAAAAAGGAGATGGCTTTGAAGATCCCTAGACTCAGCCGGGCACGGTGGCTCACGCCTGTAATCCCAACACTTTGGGAGGCTGAGGCGGGTGGATCACTTGAGGTCAGGAGTTCAAGACCAGCCTGGCCAACATGGTGAAACCCTGTATCTACTAAAAATACAAAAGTTAGCCGGGCGTGGTGGTGGGTATCTGCAATCCCAGCTAATCGGGAGGCTGAGGCACGTGAATCATTTGAACCCAGGAGGTGGAGGTTGCAGTGAGCCGAGATTTCACCACTGCACTTCAGCCTGGGCGATAGAGTGAGACTGAGTTTCAAAAAAAAGAAAAGGATTCCTAGACTCTCTAGACGGCAAATGACATTAAAATTTTTGGGGTAGGCACTGTGGCTCACGCCTCTAATCCCAGCACTTTGGGAGGCTGAAATGGGCAGATTGCTTGAACTCAGGAGTTCGAGACCAGCCTGGTCAACATGGTGAAATCCTGTTTCTACCAAAAAAAAAAAGCCAGGTGTGGTGGCATGCACCTGTACTCCCAGCTACTTGGGAGGCTGAGGTGGGAGGATTACCTGAACCTGGGAGGTGGAGGTTGCAGTGAGCCAAGATTGTGCCACTGCACTCCAGCCTGAGCAACAAAACATGTTTCGAAAAGAAAAAAAAAAATTTAGTGGCTTCTGAGGAAAGATCAAATCCAGGATACTGCTAGGGAAACATGGTCCAAAGACAAAGCCAAGGGTGTATCTATAAATCCACGGTTAAAACTTCAGAAAGCTTAAAAGTGGAGCCTTACAGTACCCTTTAGTCCAACAAAAAGCCTCTTAAGATTGTAAGGGTGTGGTGAACAGATCCTCTTGATCAAAGAATAGGGCTTCTAAAAAGCTTAAGAGTGTTGTCTCCGCTGGGCCGTGCTGGCTCACACCTTTAATCCCAGCAGTTTGGGAGGCCAAGGCGGGAGGATCACTTGAGCCCAGGAGTTTGAGACCAGCCTGGGCAACATAGCAAGAACTTGTCTACAAAAATTTTAAAAATTAGCTGGGTGTAGTAGTGCCTATTTGTAGTCCTAGCAACTCAGGAAGCTGAGGTAAGGGGATGGCTTGAACTCAGGAGGTTGAACCTGCAGTGAACCGTGATTGTGCCACTGCACTCCAGCCTGAGTGACAGAGTGAGACCCAGTCCCAAAAGAAAAAAAAAATTGTTGCCTATCAGCAGAAACCCAAAGTAGATGAGTGCTTATATCAAAGAGACTTGCAAGTATGACTTTAATTTAACAACATGGACCCCCATTAAGATTCATAAGAAATCC
The DNA here is from genome assembly GCF_000001405.40 of Homo sapiens. Taxonomy (NCBI): domain Eukaryota; kingdom Metazoa; phylum Chordata; class Mammalia; order Primates; family Hominidae; genus Homo; species Homo sapiens. Next base: position 85,368,162 of record NC_000015.10, read on the forward strand.
ACTACATATTTAAAATAATTACATGAGCAGAAACATCATAATCTTAGATTGAAAGAGGCAGAGACAGTACAAAATGAAAAGAGGGCTTTGGATTCTCAAATTCAACAAGAAAGAAGCTGGCTGAGAAAACTACTCTATTGCAAACACACACTACCTGTCATTAAAAAGGAAAGATAACTCAGAAGAGGGAACCAAGAGCTATGAGAATCACTCCTGGGAAGAACTAGGACTGACTCCTAATCAAGGAACTCACAACAGTTCTCAGGATAGATTCAGAATTGCTATGGACCACCATGGCTGGTCCACAGCAATGATGCCTTTATATTCCCCATTTCCTCCCTTTTTGAACAGGAATGTCTATAGTGATTATCTTTTGCCTGTTTCCCCATTGTACATTGAGTGTATGTGTATGTATGTGTGTGTGTGTGTGTGTGTGTGTGTGTGTGTGTAGGGGGCACAATACTTGCCTATTTCGCAGACTTCAAAAGCTTAATGATTAAGAAGAACTTTATGTAAGGGCTATATCTACAGCTGGACCTCATTTTGGTTATGAGATTCTGGACTTCGGGCTGATATTATAATGGGCTGAGATTTTTGAGGGTCTTGGGAGGTGGCGAGTACTTTTTGCATGTGGGAAGAACATGAATCAATGAAGGGCCAGAGACTAGATTGTTATAGTTAGCCTCCGCGATAGACCCCGATGCGCCCCACCTCTTAGAATTCAGTCCTTTGTGTAATCCCCTCTTAAATGTGGGCTGAGCTTAGTGACTTGCTTCTAATGAAAAGAATAAGGCAGAAGGGTTGGTATACAACTTAAAGACTATGTCATAAATATAGTGTTGCTTCTGCTCTCTCTCTCGGTCTCTCTCTCTCTCTCTCTCATCACTCAGTCTGTGAGCAGCCACGTTGTGAGCAGTCCTAAGGAAAGGCCCAAATAGCAAGAAATGGAAACTTCCTGACAACAGCCAGGTGAGTAAGCTTGGAAGTGAATCCTCCAGTTTCAGTCCAGAGAATGCAGATTTACTGACAGCTTCACTGCAATTTCATGGAGATACCTTGAGCCAGAACCACCAATGTAAGTAGCTTACAGAGTCCTAACTCTCAGAAACTTTGCAAGATAATAAATGTTTGCAGTTTTAAACTAAATTAGGAGGGTAATGTCTTATACAGCTATAAATAATATACTTTCCAAAGGCACATACTCTACAATTCCATTTAAACAAACTCTGAGACAAATTTTATCTATAATGATAGAAAGCAAATCAGACCGGGCATGATGGCTCATGCCTGTAATTACAGCACTTTGGAGGCCGAGGCGGGAGGATCACTTGAGCCCAGGAGTTCAAGGCCAGCCTGGGCAACATAGGTAGACCCTGTCTCTATAAAAAATTAAAAAAAAAAAAAAAAACTAGCTGGCCATGGTGGCGCATGCCTGTCATCCCAGCTACTCAAGAGGCTGAGGTAGAGATCACTTGAGCGTGGGAGGTCAAGGCTGCAGTGAGCTATGATCATGCCACTGCACCCAGTCTGGGCAACAGAATGAGACCCTGTCCCAAAAAAGACAGAAATAATGCCGGGCATGGTGGGTCATGCCTGTAATCCCAGCACTTTGGGGGGCCGAGGCTGGCGGATCACCTGAGGTCAGGAGTTGGAGACCGGCCTGGCCAACATGGCGAAACCTCGTCTCTCCTAAAAATAAAAAATTAACTGAGTATAGTGGTGCATGTCTGTAATCCCAGCTACTTGGAGGCTGAGACAGGAGAATCATTTGAACCTAGGAGGCGGAGGCTGCAGTGAACCGAGATTGTGCCACTGCACTCCAGCCTGGGCAACAGAGCGAGACTCCGTCCCCCCACCCCCACACACAAAAAGACAGAAATAGATAGATAGATGATAGATAGATAGATATCTCTACATAGAGAGAGAGAGAAAGAAAGAAGGAAAGAAAGAAAAAGAAAATTAGCATAGCCTAGGGTCACGGAGGTAGGGGTGGGAATTGTGGGCAGGGCCATATAAAAACTTGCGGAGACCTCAGAAATGTTCTATTTCTTAGTTATTGGAGTGCTTACACATTTGTCACACTCATTGAATTGTACACTTAAAATTGGAATATTGTTGACTGTATATTTTACCTTAATAAGATTGATTTTAAGAAAAGAGGGCAAGTGATGAGGAGGTGGAATCAGTAGGCTAAAAAGTATGATGGCAAAGGCAAGAAGAGAGATGGGACAGTGTCTTAAGAATGTACTTGGGTCAAGGATTTTAGGCATTTTTTAAGATAAGAGAGATTTGAATAAGTTTGAAGGCAGACTATAAGGACTAGAGATATAAACCAGAAAGCTTAAATTATAAATTATAAAATTATAAATTTATAAAGCTTAAATTATAAATTCTGGCGGGGACTGAAATAAATGATGTTTAGCCGGGAGTTTAGTTAGATCATGAACTACTTCCCGGGGAAGATAGGTTAAAGAGATTTTAGGCACTCAGTTCTAGTGTCCTCAGTAATGTAGGTCTGTTTACATACAAGAAGTTCAAGGCTTTGAGTGGGGAGTTAGGTTTAGATAGAGAAGAAGTTTAATGTAGTTTTTATGTGAGTTGACACTGGAAGTCAATTACTTTTGAATTCTCTGCTAAAGTGTTTAGCATTATTCTGTAAGCAAAAGGGAGCCATTTAAGTCTTTTGAGCAGGAAAGTGAAAAGTCAGGGCTGTACTTTTAGGAAAATCATTCTGTTACAGAGAGGACCATGGACTAGTTGGGAGTTATTAGACGCAGGAAAACCAGTTAGAAGAATATTGCAATCCTAGGGACAAAAGCTGGTGAATGAGCCCAAGAGAAGTAGGAATGGGAAACTTTACCTTAATTTGTAAAAGAGATTGCGGCAGAATGAAAAGGCGGCATGCTGGAAATGACTGGATGGGATTGAGGGAGAAGGAAAGCGGAAAATAGAGCAGATGAGGGAGAGAAGGATTTCTCACTTTTGGAGCCAAGTTTGTGGTCCAGCAGGCAATTCAGGTGAAGAGGTGCTTGTAGTGAGAGGGAATAGAGTGTGAGACCTAGTAGGAGTGATCTGATCAAGCTGCGGATGAGATTTAGGAAGCATCTATTTTCTTTCGTTTTTCTTTTTCTTTTTTCTTTTTTTTTTTTTTTTTTTTGAGACGGAGTTTCGCTCTTGTTGCCTACGCTGGAGTGCAATGGGCGCGATCTCAGCTAACTGCAACCTCCTCCTCCCAGGTACAAGCGATTCTCCTGTCTCAGCCTCCGAAGTAGCTCAGATTACAGGCATGCGCCACCACACTCCGCTAATATTTTTGTATTTAGTAGAGACGGAGTTTCAGCATGTTAGGCTGGTCGTGAACTGCTGACCTCAGGTATCCACCCCCATCAGTCTCCCAAAGTGCTGGGATTACAGGCGTGCATCAACGTGCTCGGCTCTCTCCTTCCTTCCTTCCTTCCTTCCTTCCTTCCTTCCTTCCTTCCTTCCTTCCTTCCTTCTTTCTTTCTTTCTTTCTTTCTTTCTTTCTTTCTGTCTTTCTTTCTTTCTTTCTCTCTTTCTCTCTTTCTCTCTTTCTTTCTTTTTTGAGACGGAGCCTTGCTCTGTCGCCCAGGCTGGAGTGCAGTGGCGCGATCTCGGCTCACCGCAAACTCCGCCTACCAGGTTCACGCCATTCTCCTGCCTCAGCCTCCCGAGTAGCTGGGACTACAGGCACACACCACCATGCCCGGCTAATTTTTTTGTGTTTTTAGTAGAGACGGGGTTTCACCGTGTTCGCCAGGATGGTCTCGATCTCCTGACCTCGTGATCCGCCCGCCTCGGCTTCCCAGAGTCCTGGGATTACAGGCGTGAGCCACTGCGCCCGGCCTATTTTCCTTTCTGAACTAAGAGATCACCTCTTGGTTTGGACTAGGTGTCCCTTTTGAAACAAATGATAGTGTGGGTGTCTTAGCTCAAGCTGCTAGTACAAAATACCATAGACCGGGTGGGTTAAACAACAGACATTTATTTCCCATTCTGGAGGCTGAAAAGTCTAAGATCAAGATGCTGGCAGATTCACTCCTTGGTGAGGGCCTGCTTCCTTACTTGCGGATGGCCACCCTTTCTTTGTTTTCTTACCTAGCAGAGAGAGGAGCCTCTGGTGTTTCCTTTTTTGTTTTTTGAGACAGAGTCTTGCTCTGTTGCCCAGGCTGGAGTGCAGTGGTGCAATCTTGGCTCATTGCAACCTCCACCTCCCGGGTTCAAGAGATTCTCCTGCCTCAGCCTCCCCAGTAGCTGGGATTACAGGTGTGCACCACCACACCCAGCTAATTTTTGTATTTTTAGTAGAGACAGGGTTTCACCATGTTGGTCAGGCTGGTCTCGAACTCCTGAGCTTAAGTGATCCGCTTGCCTCGGCCTCCCAAATTGCTGGGATTATAGGCGTGAACCACCATGCCCAGCCTGGTGTTTCTTCCTCTTCCTATGAGGGCACCAATCCCATCATGGGAGCTCCACCTTGATGACTTCATCTAAACTTAATTATTTCCCAAAGTTCCTACCTCCTCATATCACCACATTGGGGATTAGGGCTTCAACATATGAGTTTTGGAGAGGATATACACATTTATTCCATTAACAGTGGGTAAATGGTAAACGGTGCTTCAGAGTCAGTAATACCTACCCTGTTCTTTCTGGAAGATAGGTTGAATGGGTTCAGGCAGTGTTTCTCAAAAATGTGCCCTTAATGGGATATGATATATTAATGTGTTTTCCAAGGGCAGTTTGTGTCATGGTCAAATAAGTTTGAGTAATATAGGATTAAGCAAAGCCAAACAGTTGGGGTTTTTCAAATGCAGGACTTCTCAAGGCCTTAATATGTAATGCTACTATGCACAGTTAATCTTCATGAGGAGAGAAATATAAAATAAAGCATTTCTTATATTCATTTAAACAGACAATGGTTTTTCTAAGGAATTAATGCTCCAAGAGAAGCACTTTAAGAAAAACTGATTTCAGCTGTGCCAAGACGGCCGTTATTTGTAATAGTTGTACACAAATAAGGACTTCTTTCCTTTAATATAGAAAATGCAATATAGTTTTGGAAAAAAATTCTATTAGTAGTGAAGAAAATTTTTTAACAAGTTCTTCCCAAGAAAGCCTGAGCTTAGGCCTCACATGAGTTGTTGGAGTCCATTTCCATTAAATAGCGTTTGGGGCTCAACAACATAGTGTTTCTCTAACTCCAGCTTCAGAAACCTACCATTATAAATAATTGGGGATAATTATGAGAGCAGCTGAATAAACTGGAAAAGGTTGGGCATAAAGAGAAAAGCAATAGGAGGAAATGTGCAGTACTTGAGCTCGCCCATAAATCTTTCTGGAGGCAGAAAAACAGCCCCCATCTTCTCCAAACTGGAATGCGCATATAAAGTCAATACCAAATGAAACCTAACCAAATCAAAATAACGGTACCCTGAAAAGTGACTCTAGTTTTATTTTGCAGTTATTGAGAGAGAATCTCTGGACCCTTTCGTGCAGTTATTGAGAGAGAATCTCTGGACCCTTTCGTGCCCCTAAAATTAAATCCCCTGACTCCAGGCTAAAAAATATGGCAATAACTTTGTTTGGGGCCAGGGTGGTCCCTTAATCCTGAGGCATTTGTGATTCCTTCCCCCCTATCAACCCAGCATCCCTCACCCTTCTACCACTGGAAACATAATGACTTAAGAAGCTCAATTTGGTCTCATGAGCAGCCTTCAAGCAAACCTTTTGCTGGGAAGGTCGTTATGGAGAAAAGCAAGGGTTTCAGAAATGAAATAAATTGTTCTATCAATAAGCAGTACATCTGGCATTTATTAATTAAAGGCTGGGGAGCCTCTGGGGGCAGGAGACTGGGTGGCTGCTGCAAGTATTGAGGAAGTCAGTACATGATAATATGCACTTTTTGTTGAAAATTCTCTATGACAATTTTGGCAAGGTGCATGTTTCCCTGCATTTGTCAATTATCAATTTTTCTGCATAATCAGATCTACTCCTAGACTTCATTTTATCTTATTGTCTCTCAAGGGGGAAGTGGAGGAGGGATGTAAAGTGGACAGAGCAACTTGCATTGTGCCAGACAATGTGCTCAGGGTTATATTTGTTATAATGTGGCTATTGGGTGGGAGTGATCCCTTTACAGACAAAGAATTTGAGCATCCATGATCCAAACTTAGCTCTGAACTCTTCTTTTTTCTTTTTTCCTTTTGAGACAGAGTCTCACTCTGTAGCCCAGGCTGGAGTGGTGTGATCTCAGCTCATTGCAACCTCCGCCTCCTGGGTTCAAGCAATTCTCCTGCCTCAGCCTCCCGAGTAGCTGCGACTATAGGCGTGTGCCACCACGCCCAGCTAATTGTTTGTATTTTTAGTAGAGATGGGGTTTCACCATGTTAGCCAGGACGGTCTTGATCTCTTGACCTTGTGATCTGCTCGCTTGGGCCTCCCAAAGTGCTGGGATTACAGGCGTGAGCCACTGCGCCCGGCCAGTTCTGACCACTTCTAAACTCCTTCTGTTTCATGCAAGAAGAACTTAAATTAGAGAGGTTAGGCACTCTGATGCCCTGACGACAGGGATGTAAATTATAAATCAGCACAACTGTTTTGGAAGACTGCTTGCAATGAATATGCAGCAAGGTCCCTAAAATGTTAATAGTATCTGACCTGGTAATAATCGTAATGATAAATGCCATTTACTGTGCATTTACCCACAATCCAGCATATAACCTTAAGCCATATCTCTGCTTAGTTTGCGCCTGTAGAATTCCTGAGATGTATTCTCAACAAGGAACTGGTTGCTTAATCAGCTCTCTACTGAGCACCTACTCTGTAGCTAGGCTGACTAGATAGGTTCATAGTTCCAAGTACAGAGGGGAGGAGGAAGAGGAGGTGAGAGAGCCCTAATGAGGGAAATTGTATTCAAGTACTATTCTAACTTGGATTTGGCAACTTTCCCTTAGTTTTCATCTCTTGAACGATAAGCGGTGCCAATCAGTAGCTATGTGACTTGGAGCAAATTACTTAATCTCTGTAAAAGAGATTACTTGTTACTTGTAAAAGGAGGATAATAGTGCCAGCCTAGGGTTGTTGTGATGAATAAATGAGATAATGCAAGTGAAGAGGTATGGTGCAGGAATTTTGGCTTTAGGAACATATTGAGGTTTGGAAGGAATTCCTAGATAGAGGCTCTGTATCAGAAGCAATCAACCTCACCTTTGCTGTCCAGTACACTAGCCATCAGCCACACATGGCTTTTGAGCACTTGAAATGTGACTAGACTGAATTGAAATGTGCTGTAAGTGTAAATACACACTGGATTATTTTGAAGACTTAGCACAATAGATAGAATGTAAAAATACCCCATTAACAAATTTCACCTGCTTCTTTTTTACTTTTTAAATGTGACTACTGGAAAATTCTAAAGCATACATATGGCTCATATATATTGGATAACATTGGGCTTGACATCAGGGAGGCAAGATTCCCTCTGCCCCCAAGAAATAAAAATTCAGCTCTAGACTGCAAAACCTTCTGCCTGGAGGAAGATTTCTCTTAAAGATTCCCTTGTTCTCTTCCATCCTCATCCCCAACTTAAATCCAGCCTCGACATATGGTGGTAAGGTGATCTTTCTATTACAAGATGAAAATCTGCTCTCACTGTTGTTCTATTTCTTCACACATTTTGAGGTTTCCTCTTTGCCTTTCAGAATAAGGGACACACTCCTTACCAGGGCTGCGTACCAGGCCATTCGTGACCTGGCTGCCACTCCCTGCCCTCAGCTTCATCTCCCACCCAGTTTCTTATGTGTGTTGTATTTCTGATACCGCCGTGTCTTTGAATTTGCTCTTCCCTTTTCTAGAAAGGTCATTCTATTATCTGTGCACACACACCCTAGTCTCCTGCACTACCCCACTGTTCTTTATCTGCCTGATTGTCTTCCAAGACCCAGCTTATCTGTCTCATCCTCTTGGATGTCTTTCCTAAACTTTCATCCTTTAACTAGGAGAAATACTCCTCTCTGTTCCCCATAACACCCTCCATTGGCCTCTTTAAAGGCACCTACACATTTGATTTCTTCCTGGTTTGCCTGCCTTCAATTGACTGTGAGTTTCTTAAAGACAGTAACCTCTTCTTCACCTATAACCCCAGGACCATGACTAATGCCTGGAACACAGTAAACTCTCAATAGACATTTGTCAGGGAATTGGCCAGGGATCATCAGCTCATGGGTGGTGTGGCAATTAGAACTCTTCTGGATGCAAGTGACAGAAACCTCCACTGTGCCAGGCTTTATTGGCCTACAGGATTGAAAAGTCTACATTGCCGGATTCAGCAGTTCAACTAGTGTCACTAAGACACTGTTTTTCTTCATCTCTGTTTACTTCCCGTTGTTCCAGTTCCATTCTAAAGGTTCTTTCTTTGTGGTGACAAGATGGCTGACAGGTATATCCTTCCAGATTCCATTTAAGGGAGACAAATATTCCAGTCAAACAAGACCCTAGTTCCAGCAGAGTAGTCTGGAAGTAGTCACCGTTGCCCGTGGATAGGATACATCAGGAGAGTCAGGTCTGGATTCCACGCTGAGGCCATGGAATTGGGGCTGTGGTAGAGCTGGCTTCACACCAAGCAAGGAGCTGAGAGTGGAAGCTCTCAAAGCATGATCAGGACACTATTTCTATCACAAATGCAATACAATGTCCACTGCTGTGAAGGAACACTGGGATATACTTGTTCCAGTGCTTCTATTATCAAAGTGGACAGGTTAGACAGTGTGAGCTTCAAGAGAAATTTATGCTCTTTTAACTGTGTTAATTTTGTTTTTTCTTTGCTTTGGCATTGCCAGGAACTCTCTGTAAAATGGGATTTATTCTTGTTATATTTTTAGGTATTATATAGAACCTGTGTAAATCAGTTGGGAAGATATATAAGTCAATGGAGAGATAGTTCAGAGATACAAAACCCCACCACTGTTTAGTAAGGCATCTTTCCTGGCTTGCGAACTTACTGAGAGTACATGAGGAAATGATTAAACCTGCAACCTCTTTCTGTGAAATATGGCATACTATGTAGAAATATTTGGTACACCTTGGAAGAACAAGTCTTTAGTATCAGGGACACTCAGTTTGAAGGCTCCTTGTAATAGCTTCTTCTGTACAAGTTCACTAATGTGAAATTCATTGAGTCCATACTGTGAACCAGACACTATTAGAGGGGCAGGAGAGAGGGGGTAAACACAGCATACTTCAAGGAGCTTACATTATAGTGGGAGGAGCCAATAAACACACAAGATAAATAAGGTACTTTCAGATTGAGATAAATGCTATGGAAAAAACTGAGTAATACGCAAGAGAGGGACTAGATTAGAGTGGGTCAATTTAGGGAGGGTGGCCAAGGAAGGTTTCTCTGAGGAGGATCATTTGAGCTGAGGCCTGAATGATGAGACGACATCAGCCATGCAGATAACAATTTAGGAATTCCCAAGGAGGACAGAGGGCTCAACCGTTTGGGGAATTTAGGGTAGACTCCTGCCTTCAAAGTTGGGTTTCAGGCTGGGCATGGTGGTTCATGCCTGTAATCCCAGCACTTTGGGAGGCCGAGGCGGGCAGATCGCCTAAGGTCAGGAGTTCAAGGCCAGCCTGGCCAATATGGTGACACTCTGTCTCTACCAAAAATACAAAAACTAGCTGGGTGTGGTGGTGTGAACCTGTAATCCTAGCTACTTGGGGGGCTGAGGCAGGATAATCGCTTGAACCGGGGAGGCGGAGGTTTCAGTGAGCCGAGATCATGACACTGCATTCCAGCCTGGACAATAGAGTGAGACTCTGTCTTAAAAAAAAAAAAAAAAAAAAAAGTCGGGTTTCAAAATAGCTACGTCAGTAGCACCTGGGAGCTTTTTAGAAATGCGGAATCCCAGATGCCACCCCAGACTTACTGAATCAGAATCCACATTTAACAAACACTCCCAGGTGATTTGTAAGCACAGTAAATTCAAGAAGTGCTAGACTCTTAACTTTTCCTGCAGCCCACTGGAAAGGTGTAAATCCTGCTGAGGCGGGGAGCAGGGAACGGTGTTGTCAGTGTCCGTAGAAAGATGACATGGTAACATTTACTGCTGCCTCTGAAACAAACAAGCTAGGTTCTAAGGGGGAAGTTCACTGGGTTATCAAATGTTAGGGTCCAAGTGATTTTCTTGGTTAGCACTCTTGCTTCACAGAAGACTCAGGTTCTTTGAGAAGTGACCGGCTCATGATAGGCTGCTTCTCTCTCTGTGCCAGCCTTTTTTTTTTTTTTTTTGAGATAGGGTCTGGCTCTGTCACCCAGGCTGGGGTACAGTGGCATGATTTGGCTCACTGCAACCTCTGCCTCCTGGGCTCAAGCAATCCTTCCACCTGAGCCTCCCAAGTAGCTAAGATTTGGGCTACCATGCTTGGCTAATTTTTGTATTTGTTAGTACAGATGGCGTTTCAATTGATGCCCAGGCTGGTCTCGAACTCCTGGGCTCGAGCAATCTGCCCTCCTCAGCCTCCCAAAGTGCTGGGATTACAGGTGTGAGCCACCGCGCCAGGCCTTGTGCCAGTTTTTAAAAATCAACAAGGACAGATTAGAGAACAGTGGAAGAGGGTGAGCAGCATGATGAAGTGATACAGAAATAATTTCACATGAAGAACTGGGCATGTTTGGCCTTTCTTTTCTTTTCTTTTTTTTTTTTTAAAGCCATTCGGTGAGGGTTACTTAAGAAAATAGGGCCGGGTGCGGTGGCTCATGCCTGTAATCCCGGCAATTTGGGAGGCCGAGGTGGGTGGAGCACCTGAGGTCAGGAGTTTGAGACCAGCCTGGCCAACATGGTGAAACACTGTCTCTACTAAAAATAAAAAAATTAGCCGGGTGTGGTGGTGGGTACCTGTAATCCCAGCTACTTGGGAGGCTGAGGCAGGAGAATCGCTTGAACCCTGGAGGTGGAGGTTACAGTGAGCTGAGATTGCACCATTGCACTCCAGCCTGGGCAACAAGAGTGAAACTCTGCCTCAAAAAAAAAAAAAAAAAAAAAAAGAAAAAAGAAAAAAAGAGAAAATATATGTGAGCACCAGAGCTCAACATTAGGAGCATTTCTGAGATTTGGAGCTATTCAACAATGGAAGTTCCTGGCACACACATCAGGTATTCACAATACCCTTTCTCAGGTGTTTGGTCACTGCTAGTGAGCCGCCTGGATCAGTGTTTCCCAAATGGCAGTCATTTGCATCTTTGCTTTTCTTTTGGGGGCGGGGGGGTAATATCCTGTACCAGATTTTTGAAAACTGACATTAAAAATACATGTTTAAAATGTGCAAAGTGCACTAAAGTGCACTGGATGTATTTTTTATTCATGTATATACTTTTGTTATCTATCACCCAGGTCAAAATACAGAACCAGCACCCCAGAGGGTTCCCTCCTCCTCCTTCCCAGCCAATAATCTTCTCCTCCTACCTAACCGCTGTTCTTACTTCAATCACTATCAACTAGTTTTACACGTTCTTCAACTGCATATAAATTGTCTCAGTTTTTTACTTAACACTTTTCTTGAAGTGCTTTCGTTTTTTGCCACTTTTTATTTGACCTAAGAAATAACATTAATGAAACAGTGGTTTGACGTGATAGGCATTTCCCTCCTAATGCGCACTAAAAACACTTAACTATTTGAAAAAAGAAGTTTCTTCGTGTACCAACTAATATATTCTCCGCCCTGTCTCCAGAAACCGCCCTTCCTCTGTGGGCCGGTGGTTACCGGCACCATTGGTACACGGACCACATTTTGTTTCCCAAAGCAACCAGATGATTTTTGAGGTCCTTTGCAGCTCGAACACGGAATGACTTTGTGGTGATCGAGTAGCCAGAAGTTCACGGAATGCACTGTCACAATTGTGATTCCGCCATAGCGCCGTGCATCCATCCAACACTTGTTTAATACCTATATTTAATACCTAATACCTTAGACGGTCCTAGGCTGTGGACACAGAAGACTAAACCCCACTTCCTGAGTTGAAGTGGGGGAAATAGAGGAGTAAATCATTTCACGATGTGTGGTTAAGTGCTGCAGCTCAGGTAACCACCAGTACACAGAGGAAGGGCGGTTTCTGGAGACAGGGCGGAGAGGAGACCGTGGGTGGGCATTTCCCAGAGCAGCCTCTGCCAGCCACCCTACTTTGATCACTTTGCCGCCGAGCAGCAGCGGCGGTCAACCTCAGCCTCCCTTAGCAACCTGAGTGCCCCGTCCAGGAGCCTTACTATTGGTCTCATGCAGCGAGATGGGCAGTTCTGCCGTGCAATCCCAGCTCGCAGTTCTTGCTCCGCGTGTACTCACGGGAGGACTCGCAGGCGTTACCGCCTTCCCGCGTGCCCCGCCCACCCTCCCGAGCGTCTTTCGGCGCATGCGCGGACTGGAGCTGTGTGCAGGGCCAGCGCGGAGCCCGAGCAGCCGCGGTGAAGCGCCTGTGCTCTGCCGAGACTGCCGTGCC